>NC_000012.12:107460128-107611643 GCF_000001405.40 Homo sapiens | reverse complement strand
AATAATCACAGATTTGAACAAACACTCGTGTAAATACGTTTAGCTTAGCATTATTAATAAAAGTAATTTGAAACAACCTAAATTTCCAACAATTGACGCCTGGTCAGTGAATAAATAATAATGACCATTTTGCATAGCCATTAGAAGTGATTTTTAAAAAAGACACTGGGCCCAGTGGCTCATGCCTGTAATCCCAGCATTTTGGGAGGCCAAAGTGGGAAGATTCCTTGAGGCCAAGAGTTCAAGACAAGCCTGGGCAGTGTAGCAAGACCCTGTCTCTATAAAAAATATAAAAATAAGCAGGGTGTGGTGGTGCACACCTGTAGTCCCAGCTCCTCAGGAGGCTGAGGCAGGAGGATCTCTTGAGCCTAAGAGTTCAAGGCCAGCCTGGACAACATAATGGGATCTCATCTCTTAAAAAAAAAGAATATTCAACAATATTGCAAAGTAACTTTAATATAAAATATTGAAAAAGGCAAGGTGTAATAAATCACTGGGGTTTTAAAAAGAATATAAATATACATGTATGTCTGTGTTTGTGTGTGTGTGTATTAGAGCTCCTTGGTGTTGCTCAATAAAATTATTATAGCTGTAGTTAAATAAATAGTCCCTGTCATTCCCTCTCTGGAACTCACTGCATGAGCTGCCATGTGAGAAGCAGCCCCATCTGTCCCTTGTGACTTTCCATGTGAGACTTGCATTTATAACTGCTGTTTGTTTTCTCTGTCCATGACGGTTCACCACACAAGGTATCTCCCTGACTGCTGGGCCCACATGTCTCTCACTGTACCTCAGTTTCAGGAGTTAGGGGGGATAGCTGCCTATCTCTGAGTCGCCTCCTAGGGTCCCCAGAATGACTTTTGTGTATCTTAAACATATCCTAAAAGTTTGATGAAGTCTGTCTGGGCTTGTCCTGTGCAGGAACAGACAGACAAGCAGAGAACTAATTTTAACCACGATGGAAGAAGGACTTGAAGGACAGATACTAAATATAAATGATGGTTACACGGTGATGGCATTATTTCCTTTCTGGAATGGGCCTGTTTTTCCTCTCTTTTCCATTTCAGCTGCAATGATCATGTGCTACTTCTATAAAGATGAACCACAGTATTTTTATAAGATATTTTAAAAACTGAAGAAAAACACAAGCAAGCAAGCAATCTAAGCCGTCAGTAGGGGGAGCCTCTGCCCAGCGCCTGCAGAGGGGATTCACCGGCTGTCTCTGTCTTGCCAGGGGTGATGCACATGGAGGAGGTGGGGAGCCTGTTCAGACCCTCGGACCCTGTACCTGTTCGCTCATGGTGTTGATCCCATCGGGCCCCAGCAGAGACACTGCCTGCTTCACCAGGTCTGTTCGTCCACAGTTCAGCATCCGGAAACCCAGGTCCTGCTTAAACTTGGCTTCGATGGCCACCGCATCCAGCTTTCGAGATGCACAAAAGCAGTCGTCGGCCCTAAGGAAGGGAAGAGACATCATGCGGGTACAGCGGCTTCCCAGAGGGGCACAGGAGCAAACTCCGCAGGAAGCACCCTGGGACATTGCATTTGCTTTTCATGTAAATTGCCTGTTCCTAGGCTCCAATTAAAATGATGGCCTCCGGATGTCTCTTGATCCTTTGTCCTTTATGACTGCTGTGAATCTGTCTAGTCTCCTGTGTGCTCCCATAGCATACTGAGCTAAGTCACATAACGACTAATACGTATTGAATATTTACTATGGACTAGGCACTCTTGCTAAGCTCTTTGCATGAATTAATTCATTGAATCCCCACATAACCCAAGAGGTAAATCCTATGACCTCTCTTTCACCCATGGGGAAACAGACACAGATAAGGGCCCTGCCCAAGGCTACACAGTGTGAAAGCAGTGGAGCTAGGATTTGAACCCAGGTGGTCTGTGTGGAGAGCTGGCCTGTTTATCTACCGTCCCCCTGTCCTGCAATCACAGGACTTAACTATTTGCCTGTTTATTTGTCGGACTGCCTGCTCTAGGCTGGGGACTTCTGAGAGCAAGGGCCTTGTCTGGTGAGCCTCTCCATCCCAGGGCCTGAGAGGGCAAAGCACATAGAGGTTAATGGGAGCTGAATGAACACAGACTGGGTGGATTCTCTGCATTCGAAACAGTCGCAGTCGCAGGACAGAGAACCGGCAAGATCAAACAGGAATATAAATGGCAAGGTGCATGGGAATTTGTCATCCAGCCAGCCCAGGGCATCAAGAAAGAGGTTAGAGAAGGGTGGGGAGGAGAATCAATGGAATCAAGAAGGTGCTACAAATTCTGCTTATAAAGGATGTTACTTCCTTCTCACAATGAACTGATCAATCAATTAATGATGAAATCAAAGCACTAAGCATTTATTGAATACCTGTTTGTGCTAAGCTCTCTTCTAGGTGCTGAAAACACAAAGTAAACATGTCACCATCCCTGCCTTGGGGCCCCACTGCCTGGAAAGGGAGAGGACACAGCCATGGGTTGTTATAATTCAATGTGGCAAATGCAAGGATTGAGGGGTCAGAGGCACGCACTGTTACAGAACACAGGCGCTGCAGGAGTGCAAGGAAGCCGCCAGGCAGAGACTAGCAGATCCAGCAAGCCTTCGTGGGGGAGATGACCACTGGGCTATCTGTGTCTTTATTTTATTTTATTTTATTTTATTTTATTTTATTTTATTTTATATTTTATTTTATATTTTATTTTATTTATTTTATTTTATTTTATTTTATTTTATTTTATTTTATTTTATTTTATTTATTTTATTTTATTTTAAATTTTTGAGGCAGGGTCTTGCTCTGTCGCCCAGGCTAGAATGCAGTGGTGCAATCATAGCTCACTGCAGCCTCAGACTCCTGGGCTCAAGTGATCTTCCTGCCTTACTTACCCCAGTAGCTGAGACTACGGGGATGCACCACCACACCCAGCTCATCAAAAAAAATTTTTGTAAAGACAGGGTCTTGTTATGTTGCCCAGGCTGCTCTCGAACTCCTGGCCTCAAGCAATTCTCCCGCCTTGGCCTTTCAAAGTGCTGGAATTACAAGCATGAGCAACTGCACCTGGCTTGTGTCTTAACTCAGAAGATAGGAGATGAGAGAGCAGAAAAGCTTTGAGCAGGGCCAGTATGAGCAAAAGTATGGTGTTGAGACACACAGGTTGTGTGAGGGTAAACATGGAGGTTTCACTGTTTCTGGGGCATAAACTTCTAGGCAGAAGCTGAGGTAAGCAGGGCCTAGAGGACCTGTGACGTAGTCCTTAAGGCTTCAAACTTTATCCTTAAAAGCCGTGAGAGGAGTGATATGGTTGGATGGCCAGCCCTATGAGAGGACGGAGGGTGGGCCTGAGCCAACCCTAGAGGCCGGGAGATGTGATAGAGCCAACTGAACCAGCTGAGTGGACAGAAACCACTGCCAAAGTGTGAAGTGACGAGGGGCTGAGTTGAGACGGTGGCTACTGGGATGGAGCAGAGGGCGTGGACTCTGACTTCTCCATGTGTGCCTGTCCGCCTCAGATATGCACCACCCTTGCCCAGAGGCAGGTGTGTCAGCCAGAGTCAGAGCTGTCCCAGGCCCCTCACACTCCCCCTGCTTGCTGACTCCGAGGGCGGGAACTAAGGGGAGGAGCCAGGTGTTCGAGATTCCTGGTTCTGTTCCTGCCTCTAATGAACCCACTTTGTGGTGGAAGTAAGGGTGAAATTTGTGAGGAACGAGAGGGGGCCATTGTCCCAGGTTTATGGCGCTGAGACTCCTCAGTAGCTGAGGAGTGAACGACCACAAGAGCCCCAAGAAGTGGATGCGACGTGTGTGCCCCTGGCCTGTCCCTCATCACTCATCTGACACATCACTCATATTTGCGGAGGAGCCTTGGTCTGAAAACTATTCCGGAATGGGAATCCAGGGGTAGGAGATGCTTTGGCTCTAGATGCAAGACATGAAGCGTTTGCTTCTGGCCACCAGGGGGAGCTGCTGGGACGCAGACGGACTCCAAGGACTGGAGCCAGAAGCCTGGTGTTGCCATGAGGGGTCTGATCTGCACACCTGTCTCAGGACCTAAACGTCAGGCCAGGCCTCCAAGGGCCTATTTGCAGGAGAGCCCTGGGAGGGACAATAAAAGGTACTTAGGGGCCCAGAGTTGATCAGAATCTGGACTCCAGGATTAAGGCCTTTTCATGGCAGGTGGGAAAGTCAAGAACACCCCAACGCTGTTGGAAGGCTCCCCAGGGAAGACAGAGGGCTACCCCGGCAGTGGGGGAGAGCTGGCTGGAGGACCGGAGCCTGACTTCAGTCTATGGCATCAGCATCCGAGACCTGAGCTTCTAGGGCACAGAACGTGGCTGAGCCATAGAACTTCTTGGCACACCTCATGGGGGCCTTGAACATGGCTCTCCTACAGCTAGGGTTACCAGATTTAGCAAATAAAAATACTTGAGAAATATTTCATGGGACACACTTATACTAAAAACATTATCCATTGTTTATCTGAAACTGAAATTTAACTGGGTGTCTTGACTTTTATCTGGGAGAGGCCAGAGACTAGGGGCCCTGAAAGAACACAAGGGGAAACCATGGATCCTTCCAGAATGTAAACACAGCATCTATCTCCAGGGGAGGAGGGGGGACCCCTTGCTGCAGCTGTGGGCTTCATCCAAGGGACCAATGATCCCTAAACAATGGGTAAGGAAGGAGATTCAGGCAAAATGAACATGACAGAGGGAGGCGGGCCAGAGTAAGAGAGCAAGGTCACAGAGCACACATCACAGAGGCTTCCGGGAGAGGTGCGCACGGGTCTGGGTGTATCGTGGTGAAAAGTCTGCACCCTTGATTGGGGTTGTGTGTGTGCAAATCTCAGGGAGGTATCAGATTTGACTCACTATAGAGAAAATCTTTCTTCTCACATACCACTATCCAATTCTGGAAGAGGCTCCTTTGTGAAAGCAAGACCTCCTTTCTTGGGAGCAAAGATGCTATAAATTATTGTCACAGAAAGACACCCATTGGAGTTTCTTCTTTTTTGTCTAAGTTCCTTCTGATATCCTTCATGCTTGATGGATTCAATCAAATATGCATTTTTGCATGAAAAATATGCATTCTTTATTCCGTATGACTGGATAAACGTTATTGGGCACCTACGGTATGCTGGGCCCCACACTACGGGGCTACAAAGGTGGGAGACACAGACCCTGTGTTCACAGAGCTCACAGACTCGTAAATGAATAATTGCAAGAACATCAGGAGATGTGTTTACCAGCTATCGAGGTACTTGATTTTAATTAGAAAGAGACAAATGGCAAGAAAATTACCGTAGCTAAGATGATGATAATTGTTATTACAGGAAGCTGACATTTACTGAATTCTCACTATTGAAATGTAAGCTCTTTCTATGTATGAACTCAAACCATCACAACAAGTCCTGATGTAGGTAGGAGCTGCTGGAAGCCCCACTCCACAGATGAGGAAACTTTAAGAAAACTGTCCAAGTCACAGAGCTGGTAAGTGGTGAGCCAGGTTTTGACCTGACCCCCCATCCTGCCCTCTTCAGTGGGACCTGGCCCTCTCCCTCCACCATGCCTATGACTCCACACATATAGCTGCCTACTTGAGCTCAGCTATGGATGGCTCTCAGACCCTCAAATTTAGCAGGTCCCAAATGGAACTTTTCATTAACACACCTATCCCCTCCCTCTAAACTTGTCCCTCAGTCATCCCATCTCAGTAAACAGCACCACTGTCCACCCAGGTACTAAGGCCAGAACCTTTTCTCATGCCCATATCCATTCCATTAGCTGTTGGTTTTGCCAATGAAATCCCAAATCCATCCACTTCTTTCCACCTCTGCTGCCCCACCTGGGTCTCAAAGACCAGCATCCATCTCTGAGATATCCAGTTACTGCCACAGCCTGCTAGCTGGTCTTCCTGCTTTCATTCTCCTCATCCAAACCAGTCTCTTACACAAGGTCAGGGTGAGTTTAAAACATAAATAGAACCATGTTATGCCCCTGCTTAAAACCTTCCACTGCCTTCCAGTGCACTGGGGATAAAGTCCAGCTCTCCAGGAGGGGCCTGCTGAGCTCTACAGGCTCCCCCTTCCCAGCTTCTCTCCCTCCTTCACTCTGCAACAGCGACTCTCCTCTTTCTTCTGACCCTTCAAGAGGCAGTGGCTTTCCTGCCTAGAGGACTCAGCTCCTGCAGTTCCCTCTCCCTGGAAGGTCCTTCCCCTGGCTCTCTGCAGGACATCTCTGACACGTCCATACAAGCCAGGGCTCTCCAGGCCAATTTTGTTTGTCTCCTCGTTAGCATTTTTCACAGTTTGTGACTATTTTATTTACTTAAAAAATGTTTGTTTCTTCCAATAGCATGCCAGCCTCCGAGGGGCAGGACCACATCTATCTTGTTGTCTATTGTATACCCATCAGTGCCTGACACACACTGTGCCAATGGATAGGTGAGCCATGAATGATCTACCATTCATTCTTTTAAAAAAAATCAATTACATTTTAATTAACCATTAAGCATGGTGTGTATTTATGGTGCACCACATGAATACACTGTGGTATGGCTAAATCAAACTAATTACCATATGCATTACTTACCTCACATACTTATTTATTTATGGTGAGATTGCATGGTGTTTTTCTTTCTGTGCCTGGATTATTTCACGTAACATAATGTCCTCCAGGTTTATTGACTTTGTCACAAATGACAGGATTTCCTTCTTTTTTTTAAGACTGAATAGTAATTCCACTGTGTACATATACCACATTTTCTTTATCCATTCATCTGTTGATAGGCAGGTTGATTCCATATTTTGGCAATTGTGAACAGTGCTGCAATAAACACAGGAGTGTGGATATCTCTCTGATATACTGATTTCATTTCCTTTGGATATATAGCCAGTGATGGGATTCCTGGATCTTATAGTAATTCTATTTTTAATTTTTTGAGGAATTTCTGTTCTGTTTTCCATAATGGCTGTAATAATTTACATTCCCACCAGCAGTGTACAAGGGTTCCTTTTCTTGACACTCTTGCCAACACTTTTATATTTCATCTTTTTGATAACAGCCATTCTAACAGGTGTGAAGCGATATCTCATTGTAGTTTTAATTTGCATTCCCTGACAGTTAGCGATATTGAGCATTTTTTCATATACCTGTTGGCCATTTATATGTCTTCTTTTGAGAAATGACATGTTTAGGACCTTGGCTCATTATTTTTTTTTCTCTCTGTTGTCCATGCTGGAGTGCAGTGGTGCGATCTCAGCTCACTGCAGCCTCTGCCTCCCAGGTTCAAGTGACTCTCATGCCTCAGCCACCTGAGTAGCTGGGATTACAGGCATGCATCAGCATGCCCAGCTAATTTTTGTATTTTTAGTAGGGACAGAGTTTCTCTATGTTGGCCAGGCTGATCTCGAACTCGAGCTCAAGTGACCTGCCTGCTTCGGCCTCCCAAAGTGCCACCGTGCCTGGCCTTCACTCATTTTTTTTTGAGATGGAGTCTCACTCTGTCGCCCAGGCTGGAGTGCAGTGGCGTGATCTCGGCTCACTGCAAGCTCTGCCTCCTGGGTTCACGCCATTCTCCTGCCTCAGCCTCCCGAGTAGCTAGGACTACAGGTGCCCGCCACCACACCTGGCTAATTTTTTGTATTTTTAGTAGAGATGGGGTTTCACTATGTTAGCCAGGATGGTCTCGATCTCCTGACCTTGTGATCCGCCTGCCTCAGCCTCCCAAAGTGCTGGGATTACAGGCATGAGCCACCACGCCCGGCCCTCACTCATTTTTTAATCGGATAATTTCCTTACTATTGAGGTGTTTGAGTTCCTGATATATTTTGGATATTAACCCCATATCAGATGTATGATTTGCAAGTATTTTCTCCCATTCCATAAGTTGTGTCTTCACCCTGTTGATTGTTTCCTTTGCTGTGCAGAAGCTCTTTAATTTGATGCAATCCCATTTGTCTATTTTTGCTTTTGTTGCCTATACTTTTGGAGTCATCACCAAAAAAATCATTGCCCAGGCCAATGTTATGGAAATTTCCACCTGTGTTTTCTAGTGGTTTTACAGTTTCAGGTCTTACATTTTGAGCTGATTTGTGTATATGGATGCCATAAGGGTCTAATTTCATTCTTCTGCATGTGGATATCCAGTTTCCCCAAAGCCTTTTACTGAAGAGAGCGTCCTTTGCCATTGTGTGGTCTTCATTCTTGAAAGCAGGCCCCAGAAGGCATCTGTTTATCAATAATCCCTTGGTCATCCAAAATAAATAATAAATAATGGTTCTGGTTACTGAATTTTACCAGCTAAGTCAGGCAAGTGAACTAGAGCAGGTAAGAAACATTTTCCATAAAAATCTATGACAACTGTGGCTTTCTGTTCAACCCGATTTGTCAGAAATGTTTAACTCTGCAAAAAAAGTTCCTGTAGCATATCTGTAAATGTGGCTGAGAGCCCCATACAGTCTTTCCAGAAAGTTTCTGAAGGATCTCCACCACTGTAAACCAACATGTCCCTCCGTGGCCTGGACAAATAAGTGTGCCCTCTTGAGTGCCTGACTTATTTATGCAGAAATCTATTCAGCTGGTCACCTGGGGCATCACTAGAAGGCAACCAGCTTTATGGTTTTCCCTTCAAGTGGCTTTCAATGATGCAGTAAAAAATCTGATCAATTTAAGTGAGAGGGCAGCTACCGAGGTGGTCAATTTCTCTGATTCTCAAGTGCCCCAGCCCCGAGAGATAGGCTCAATATCTTCCACCACTTCAGGGACATGACTTTAGAAGGATGTTTTCCAGGAAGCCTGCAGGCCTGAGGACAGCAAGCGATGGCGTTGCTTTCTCTCTCTTGGGAAGGAGGCGGCACCGAGGCGGGGAGTTAATGCATTCTGCTGATCTCTGGATGCTTTGTGAGTGCCAAATGCAAGCTGGTCAGGCCCTGGACATCTTTATGCATTTATTATGTTTTAAAGCTAGCATAGAAATTATGAGCATAAACTCTGGTATCTCAAATCCCAAGTCTGCTATTTGGCAGTTGTGTGATCTTGGGGCCAGTTACGTAACCACTTTATTGTTCAGTTTTCTCATCTGTACACTGAACTTAGTAATACTTTCTTTACAGGATTTTGGATATGAATTAAATGAGATAATTCGTGTATAGCGCTTAGCAGAGTACTGCGCTCAGCATACAGCTCTCATTAAGTGTCAGAGATCTCCTATGATAATCATTAAATAAATTACAAAGCAAAGTGCAGACTTTGGAAAGAATATACTGTATTTGGAAGAAGCAAATACAGAGACACAGAGACTACAGTCCAAGTGCTTTTTAAGGTCTCAAATTAGATATCATATCTAACAAATACCACCAGAATCACAGTAGACCTTACCCAGTGGGGAAAGCCTGGCCCCCAGGAAGGCTGCCATCCCTGTCCAGCATGGTTTTGTGAGTGATAGCAGAGGGTGGGGAGGGAGTCAGTGCTAGATGAATGCAGTTTCTGGAATAGTTCAGAGACCCTTAGGGTGCCGTGGGCCTACCCTACCAGGCTCGTGGCCCTCCTTTTTGTCTCTGATTCCAAGGACCAATCCTGACCTCACTGTTGCTAGAAGGTAACCGGCAGCTCCCAGGTTCCCTGAGAGTTTTACTCCAGTGTAACTCTGTTAAGCCCACCCCTGAGGATCTGGGCTCGGAGGCCAGGCTGCCCGGGTTCATCCCTTGGCTGTGCCCTCACTCACCAGGCAACCTGGCACAGCTTTAATTTCATTTTGCTTTCTCATATGTAAAATGGGAACACTAATCTTATTTAACATGCTTTATTAACAAATACTTACATAGCATTCCTATTTGTCAGGCATATTGTAAGCTTTTTACAAATACGAACTTGTTTAATCCTCATAATAACCCTATGATGAAGGCACTATTATTTTAAATTTATTTCACAGATAAGGAAAATGGGGCACAGAGGGGTTAATCAACTTGCTCATTGTCACACAGCTGAGTAGGAGTCAGGATTTGAACCCAGCAGTCTGGCTCCATAGTCCATCCTGCTGATCACTCTGCATGGCCCAGTTCTTAGTGATGTGCTGCCAAACACTGGGCTGCTGCTGCTGCTTGGAAGCACAGGCTTCCAAAGGGATTCCTCATACTATGACTCTGGGATCCTGTACCACAAAAGGCCCGAGCAGCCCCAATAACCATGATCACTCATAGAAACACTACACCCTTTATTACGTGCTTATTGTGTTTCACACACGGTGCTAAATAGCCAATTTTCACCACTTCAATGGATCCTCTCTTGGGAGGAGATCATCATCATTATGCAATTCTACCAGCAAGGAAACTGAGGCGAAGGTCTGAGTGTCTGAATCCAAAGCCTTTGCCCTCACAGAGGCAGGAGAGGCTGGTGCCTAAGACCAAAATTCACATCCCAGTACTTACTTGCTAAGGGATCTTGGGCAGGTGAAAAAAACTCTCTAAGCCTCAGTCTCCCCCTCTGCAAAACAGGGAAGATGATAATAGTCTTCACTGTCTACATCTGCAATGAGGTTTAAAAGAGATAATTCTTTTGAACCACTTAGCACGGTGTGTGATGATAATAATTGCCTAATACATGGAATGCGTAATTCATTGCTATGATTTTATAATTGCAGATCCTCTCTCCAGGGATTTAATCAGGCCATCTGGACACCCCCCCACCACCATCCTTCAGCCACACAATCCTCCAATCCCAGGGCAGGTCTTTCCTTGCTGCCAAGTCCTTTTCCAATTGTTCTAGAGCCTGGTCCCTCTGATCCCAGCCCTCCCTGTGGCCTGTCACTTGCAGGGCCTCGTGAGAGCTCTGCCGTGGCTCCAGTGGCTTCTCACTTCTCTGTGCATGTGTTTCTGTTCTCATTCATCTGGGTCTCACCAGCAGGTTGGCAATCTGCAACAGAGCAAATTCCAAGGCTCCTCTCCAAGGCAGCAGCCATCTGCCTGGGGAGCTGTGTGAGAGGAAAAGTCACTTTTCCTTGCTCATATGGAAGATTCCTGAAGCCCACCATTGGAAGGTGCAGACTGAGGTGTTTGGCTGTTGTGGGGATAAATATGAGAGGATGCAGCCCCGTTCTGCTGTGTGGGCCCCTGGGAATTGTGGTTTGGGTTACACTATGGCTCCATCCAGCAGTCAGATTAGTTGTCTTGGAAGAGAGCAAAGATAATAACAATAACCAAAGGCACAGTAAACATTTACAAACAGCTTTCCCAACACACTATAGTTAATATCATAATCATGACTGGCATTTATAGACAGCTTTTCATTTGTTAAGTATTTCACATATAATAGCTCACTTAAATCTTCAAAATAATCTCATAAACTGTGGACTGTTGTGCTCATTTTACAGAAGAAAAATTGCGGCATCGAGGTTGCGTATCGGTTGCTCAAGGTCGCACAGCTTGTAGGTGATGGAGCTGGCACTCAACCCAGGCATCCTGACTCCTCAGCTCACACCTGTATCTTGCTTAAACCCTCAGGAACCCCAAAAGGTAAGCTTTCATGTCCCTGTTTTATAGATGAGGAAACAGAGACTCAGAGGAGTTACATATCTGGCCCTACAGTCACTCAGCTCCTTAGACTTCAATTTCAACCCAGATCTGTCTCATTCCAAAGTCCAGGCTCAAGTAAGACCTGTGTTTGTGGGTGAATGCCCATACTCCATCCCAGCCCATTCCGCAGAATTCAACATTACTGAATATCTACTCTGTGCCACACACTGGGGATCCAAAGAGGCCAATAGGATGTGATTTCTGCTCTGGAGAACCTCAGAGTCTCAGGGAAATACCATCACTCATTCATTCATACAGACTTTTTTTTTTGGCTTTTATTATTATTTTTAATTGGCACATAATAATTCACACATGCATATTTATTGGGCTCCAGTATCGGCCAGGCACTGGATTAGGTGCGGTAATACAACAGCAAGTGAGTCAGAGAGGGGCCCCAGCCTCACAAGGCTGTCGTGGAAAAGGAAGTTAAGTGAGCTGTTTGGCTACACAGGTAACGACATAATTGAAAATGAAGGTACCTAGCGGGGAGAAATGAAAGCACAACACTAACTCAAAATAGTAATTAAGGACCAAGTCGCCAGCCTTTCATATTCCTCTGTGTGCATAACAGAGATGGATGGTATCCAGTAGACAATAATGCTGATTTCACTTGTCTGGATACTCAGGACACCACTGAAGGGCAGCAGGGAACTGCTGGAGTTGAAATGCATGCGGACACAGCACATGTCTTTGCTGTGTTACCTTCAGCAAACTATCCCATCTGTGGCTATGCTTCCACTTTCTCATCTATTAAATGGGGAGAACAGTACATATGTGTTAAGATTTTGGTGAGGATGAAGTGAGATCATACACATGAATCTGTTTTTGTTAGGCTGAGGCACTGTTTATGAACATGCACTGAGAAAAGCGGGATGTGTAATACTCATATAGGCTAGGAATATCTAGATGACGTGGACCTAGGCAGCCATCTGAAATGCAGGAAACACTCCAGGCAGTCAACACCCCAACACCTGTTCAGGATCTCCGGGGAATTTCATGGTGGCCTTGAAACAACACCTAAACCAAGGATGGCAGACAGGGTTCAACTTGTGCATCAACTCTGATTCACAGCTATGGTTGACTGGAGGATGGTGTCAAGGGGGATTCTGAGGCCATGTCCAGACTTATCCAGGAAGGAGGAACATCCAGACCCTTGAGAACAGTTCTGAAAGCAATGGGTAATGCAGGAGCAGAGACAGGATAAGGGCCCAGATAAATGTGGTTATATCATGGCTGTATCACCCATTAGCTGTGTGACTTTGGACAAATCACATTTCTTCTAACAGCTTTAGTTTCCTTGTCTGTAAAATGGGGATGTTAGGCTAGTTAAGCTCTTGGGTACCTCCCAGCATGGACATTCCCTGAGTTTATTACATGTCTTCTGGTACTCATGTACCATTCTTTACTGTGTAATAGCTTTTCTCCCTTACTCTATCCCAACATATTAGCTTCTCTGTTTTTGCTCTTATTTCATGCGAACATTTATTCCTGTGGCCAAGAAGATCACCTGGGAAAGAAATGTGTGACAATGAATTTTAACCATCCCCACCATTGTTCTCCACTTCTTCCTCATAGTAATATAGAATCACCTGTGTCACTGAGTTTTGGCTGGGTACAGGGCCACTTAGCTAGGGAATACATTTTCCAGACTCTATGGCTGGCTATAGCCATGTGATTAAGTTCTCACCAACAAAACGTAAGTAGAAGTGGCATGGGTAACATTTGTGTCCAGTGGTGAGCTGAAGCCAGATCTTGCTGGCTTGTGAAAGCCAACTGTGTGCATCTTCCCCATCCTGTGTTCAGTGACATCTCATTGCTAACTTGAAATCAGCCATACTGGGGGTATTTACACCATGGAAATTGGCAAACACTGCAAACCACAGCTCTCACCACCCTCCTGGGACAGATGATTGTTAAACATTTACCAGCATGACACAATGTCATTTGCTTAAAAGGAAGCTCCTAGCTCTGACTTTCCCTTTGTCCCTTTCCCCAGCTGATAAGCAGACTTGCCAGTGTCCTAGCTTTGACTATGGAGGTGAGCCTAATGCTCTAGGGCAGACTCCTTAAAAGGCAACATAGTCAATAATTTAGGCTTGTAGGCCATATGGTCTCTGTTGTAATTACTCAATTCTGCTGTTAGAGCTTGAAAACAGTAAACAAATAGGTGTGGCTGTGTTCCAATAAAACTTTATTTAAAAAACAGAAGGTGACCCAGGGGCCATAGCTTGCTGACTCCTGCTTTCAAGGAATTGCAAAGCAACAAGATGAAAGGGACTTGGGTCCTCTAAAGATCTTGTGGAGAAGTCACCCCACCAGCCTGCAATGGCTGATACATTACATGACAGAGAAATACCATCTCTCTTCGTCAAGCCACTGTACTCTGGAATCACTCTGTTATGGCAGCTGGCCATCTATCTAATACATGAACTCAGAAAATACCTGCCTGCTATGGTTTGGATGTCCCCACCAAAACTAATTGAAATTTAATTGCTATTGTGGTAGTGTTTTGAGGTGGGACCTTTGGAAGGTGATTAGGTGATAAGAGCTCTGCCCTCAAGAATGGGTTAATGCTATTATCATGGGAGTGGGCTAGTTATTGCAGAGGTGAGGTCAGCTGCCATTCTCTCTGTATCGTGCACGCTCACTTGCCCTTCCGCCGTGGGATGACTCTCACCAGATGCTGGTGCTACACTCTTGGACTTTCCAGACTCTAGAACTGTGAGCCAAATAAAGCTCTTTTCTTTATAAATACCCATTCTGTGGTATTTTGTTATAGCAACAGAAAACCGATTAAGACAATGTCCATTATGGCTACTCTCTTAATAGCTCAGAATGGAAACATGTCTTTCCTGGAATGTACAGGGCCAGATCTGGCTGCTTTCTCCAATGTCCTAATTTCTGGAGCTCAAGATAAGAATGTTAGAGTCTACAGACTCAGAATATCTAGGAGAGTAGAGGTTTCATCTATGAGTCTGGTGATGCATTTATGGCCCACAGGGCATTAAAAAAGCACAACAATGTGCCCTTGAGTTTGTCTGTGGTTACACTCCAGGCTGCTCAGTAGAGTTCTAAGGGATGCACCAGGGTTGCAGGTGTCTGCTGTGTCCAGCTCTAGTTTCTCAGTTTACTGGACACCTGAATAAAGTCAGACTGAGATGGGACAAGAGCAAGATTTGCTGTTTTCTGCTTTTATTTAAAAGCAACCCAGCGATTCTCAAAGAGCCACGGGGAAAGCTACACTCTGTTCTTATTGTGAGGCAAGGAGGTCTGACTGGAAAAGAACTTAAGGAAGGGGGAAGGAAGGTGGAGGGGTAAGGAGAGTAGGGAGGGAAGGAGGGAGAGGCTCTTGGCCTGGATGCAGAGGGGAAAACTCTAGGGGTTTTGGCCAATGCAATCCCAAGACTCATGCTCTGTGCCAATACGGTGTTTGAAGACTATTTTTTGGTTGTTGTTGTTGTTGTTTTTTTGAGATGGTGTCTTGCTCTGTCGCCCAGGCTAGAGTGTGGTAGTGCGATCTCAGCTCACTGAAACCTCCACCTACCAAGTTCAAGCAATTCTCCTGCCTCAGCCTCCCGATTACAGCTGGGATTACAGTCATCCACTACCATGCCTGGCTAATTTTTGTATTTTTAGTAGAAACGAGGTTTCACCATGTTGGCCAGGCTGGTCTTGAACTCCTGACCTCAAGTGATCCACCCACCTTGACCTCCAAAGTGCTGGGATTACAGGCGTGAGCCACTGCACCAGGCCAAATTTGAAAACTTTTATGTGTGGCATACACTTGCTCAGTTCTCCCTGTTGCCCCACATCCAACTGAATCCACCCGTGTGTTTCCTGCCTGGCCCTAGTGGCATTTGCAATTGGATCCTTGACTGGAATAGGGTGCAATGTGATATGTTCTGGTATTACAGATGAACATTAAGGGACTAATATTTTAAGAAATCTTCATTAATTCATTCTTGTCACCTGTTAAATGTCAAACAGTGTGCTAGAAATTCTTGAGTGCTTCCATACCTAATATTTTATGATTCTCAAATAATAATTATAGCAAACACATAGCATTTATTATGTGCCAGGAAATATTCTAATTATATATACACACACAATATTTATAAATATATAAGTGAATATACGTATATATACACATATGCTTATATATATTACCTATTTATATGTGAATATAAATATGTGAAATAATATATGTGAATGCATATATATGTATATAAATATATGTGCATACATATATACTCATTCACATACTTGATCTTATCTAATCCTTACTTTAATCCTACAAAATTCATCTTAATTTTTCAGAAGAGAAAATGACAGCACAGAGAGGCTAAGAAACTTGCCCAAGGTCACACAGCTAGTCAGTAGTAGAACTGAGATTTGAAACCAGGCAGGCTATTGCTGGAGTCTATTCTTCCCGCCCAACTCCACTGCCCCTCTGTGCTATCAAAGGCCTTCCACATTCTCTTAGATTCTCTTCCAATGCTGCTGTCTGGTCAACAAACTATTAGATGCCAGGTACTGCGTAGGGTGCCAAAGAAATATATATTCCTAATCATAGGCTTCAAGTTTAAGGTTCTCTTGCCATTGCTCCTCTGGGAAGTTCCCCACCTCTTAAGCATTTCTTTTCCCCCCATTGCAGCCAGCAAGGCCTGCTTCCCACTCTGAATACACATTTCCCTACTGCTTTCTTGCCTGTATAAATGGGGTGCTCCTCAGGTCAAATCTGCTCCCCTGTGGCTTGCTTTCCTTCAAATCATATTCTAGAAACAGATCCCATATAACAGCTTCTGACTTGCAGGGTCCCAGAATGTCAGTGCTGAAAGAGATTGCACAGCCCAACGCCTTACCTTCTTAAGATCAGGAAACTGGGAGCACCAGAAGCGCTGACTAATTTGTCTGAGTCACAGTCATATTTAGGAACAAAATCCATCTTTTTTCCAAAGTCATTCAGCAAGTCTCTCTATGAACACATTTAGGTTTGCATAGGTCAGTGATTCTCAACCAGGGGCGATTTTTGTCAGGGGACATTTGGAGACATTTTTGGCTGTCACACAGAAGAGGTGCTGCTGGTATCTAGTAGGTAGAGGTGAGGGTGCTGTTAAGCTTCCTGCAATACACAGAGTGCCCCCCACCAACAGCCCCCAGCAACAATGAATTATCCAGCCCCAAATGTCGTAGTGCTGAGGTTGAAAGACCCTGGTGTAGGGTAATACAATTTTTTTGCATCATCTTTTATATATCAAGTAGTTCCCATTACAGGATTTTGTAAGCATGACAATAAAATGGCGCCTTCAGAAATGAGTCATGAAATGGCAAATCAGAGGACTATATGTCTGACTCGGATACTGGCCCCCCTCCTCAACACACTGTCCCAAGAATGCCATAGTCAAACTCCCTTTCATGGGCTTCCAGTCTCCTGGTTGATGATTTTTTCCCTTTTCTTTTGGGTAGCAAAAAGATGAACAAATTGAGAGTGCTTTGTGCTGAGGTAAGTCACACCAAGATCTCTGTGCACCTTTCTAAGAAAGAAAGATAAAATTATATTATCTCAGCAAATGGAGTATGTAACACTTGCAAAAGTTCCTAGGAGGAATCTTTGTCCAAAAATCATGCCCACTTGCTGTTTAATGCTGCTACTGAAGTACAGAAAAGAACCAGCTCATTAAACCTGGCTTAGATAAGGTAAAACAAGTGATTCTAAGTCCTCCTCCCTGCCAATTCTTCCTGATTTGGGAGAGATACCAAAAGATAGAAATTCTGGGTCTGTCTGAATATGTTTAAAAATATTTATTTCAAAAGCAAGGGCGCAAACACCCAGGAGAATGAAATTACGGTGCACATGTCTGAATGTGTTGTCATGTGATTTTGAGTAGAAAATGACGAGGCAGCATTATCTTGCTTCAGCATCATGGCTTATGTTCAAAGAGTCAAAAATGAGGGCCACCTCCAGAGAAGGAGTCACCTCTAATTAAGGATGCAAGCCCTTAATGCATCCCCTCTGGCAGAGACTGTTTGCTGTCTTTCAGACCTTACCTTTTTTATGTGTTGCTGCAGGTCTTGAATTTTTAGCTGGACACATGGCTGCTCAACTAAAGACTACATTTCCCAGAATCTCTTGCAGCTATGTATGGGCATATGACCAAGTGCTGGCCAATAGGAAGTGAGGGGAAGTGACGTGTGCAATCTCCGGTGGCATGCCCTGCCCTTCTATTTTCTCTCTTCCCACTAGATAGACGTAGTCCTGCTGGGTGGGGCCATGCAGAGGAAGGTATCACCCAAGGGATGGCAGAGCAACAAGAGGGAAGGTGGCTGGGTCCCCAACCTCGTGGAGTTGCCCAGGATTGCTTATGTCTGGACTGTTATATGAGGGAGATTTTAAAACTCCTATCTTATCCAAGCCACATGTATTTTGAATGTCCATTATAACTAATGAATCTATATCCTAATTAATCCATTCCACAAATGGTTTTCAAGTTTAGATCAATTCAGTGAAGTACTTCAGTGAAGTGCTAAGTATATGCTAGCTAGTGGGCTCGGTGCTGGAGATTCAAGATGAAAGCACACATGCCATCCACCCTCCAAGGAATCTAGAAAGAACTGATGGCCTTCTTCATAACAGTTTTCACCAATAAACAAACCAAATTCCCAAGTGTTAGGGCAAATTTCTAGTGTTCCAATCCCCAAATGCACTCCTAGTAACACAAGTCCCACAAGATGCTCCATGATGGGTCCAAAATTTTTTTCTGCAAAGGGCCAGATAGTATGTTAGGCTTTGAGGACCGCATGTTCTCTATCCTAACTACTCAACTCTGCCACTGTAGTGGGAAAGCAGCTGCAGAATACTAAACGAGTGGGAGGGGCTGTTTTCCCACACAACTTTACTTATAAAAATAGGTAGCAAGCAGCTATAGTTTGCTCACCCCTGCTCTATGGTAAAATATTTAAACAGAATAACCTTTTTGAGAGTTACAGGAAACAGGATGTGAAAAGCACTGAGTATCTTTTTAAAGCTTATTTAATTTTAAGCTAGTGTTCCTCAGATTTATTGAATCACTTAACCCTTCTTTATAATGCATATTCATATCCCAGAACTTGCTTTCTCAATGTGTTACTGCAAATACTGGCTAAGTAGACAACTTTTATTGTTAATGAATTATTTTCAGCACACATAAAATATAGAGTAATATAATGACCACCTACACGCTGACCATCCAACACAATTGAAATAATAAAGGCTTACAAACACAAAGGCCCCTGCACCCCACTTCATGACTCCATCATCTTGTCTACCTTTCTGAGTACCCTCTCTCCTGAATTTGACATTTGTCATTCCTATGCATGCTTTATTCTTTTTACTACATATATAAATTCCTAAAAATACACAGGATGTTTTACATGTGGGTGAACTTTATAGAAGTGTTAGCATATTGCATAAATCCTTCTTCAACTTGCTTTTTTTGTATAATATTTGAGAGTTGGCCATGTAATAACAGGTCGATCTAGTTCATTTATTTTCGTTGTTACTTGGTTTTCCATCGAATGAACACAACACAGTATAATTTATTTATCCATTCTCTCTAGGCAGATTGTTTTTTCCTCTCTTTTGCTATTACAAAATGCATTCATGAATATCCATGTACATGTCTTCTTATTTCTATATGGGAAGACTTTCTCTAGGGTATAGACCTAGAGTACAATTATGTCTTTTCAAGTTCACTTTGAAGTAGATCCAGAGTCCCCTCCAGTGGTGTTTAAGAGTTTTCACTATTCTACATCTTTGCTTGAATTTGTTATTGTCAGATTTTATTTATTTATTTATTTTGGCCAATCTGACTGGTATAAAATTGAATTGCATTTCTGGGATTACTAGTGAGGTTGGGGACTGTTCACATATTTCTTGGCTGTTTGATAGAATATTTCAATGCTAAGTCTTCACAGGGAGTTTTGGCATTGGAAATGCTGATGACGCTAGATGGATGTAGTGCATTTGACTTCCTAAGGGGAACTGAGGCTGGAGGCTGAGTCTTTCAAGATGAACCCAAAGGCCTAGTGCAAAAGTGACTTTCACACTTCCCATTTATTCTTTGATTAGGGCTGCCTTTCTAGTAGAGAGAACGTAGGCTTTGGAGTAAGACAGACCTGACTTATATTCCAGATGGGTCACATTCTCCATGTAACCGTGGGCAGGTTTCTTAACCTCCCAGAGTTCCAAGTTCCTCAGATGTGAAGAAGAAAAGGAAGCCCCTTGTAGGGCTGATGGAAACTGAATGGAGGTGGACATGAGAAATGCCCAGAACTGGGTCTGATCCATGCAGGCTCTTGATTGTTCCTGCCATCTTGTGGAGATATAAGAGAGGGCATGAGCTGCAGTTATTCTTATTTCCTTTGCCCATGACATGCCTCAGTTTCCCCCACAGGTAACAGTGTCCCTGCCTGATGTGGTCTGGATATGTGTCCTTGCCCAAATCTCATGTTGAATTGTAATTCCCTGTGTTGGAGGAGGGGCCTGGTGAGAGGTGATTGGATCATGGGGGTGGACTTCCCCCTTGCTGTTCTCGTGATAGTGAGTGAGTTCTCATAAGATCTGGTTGTTTGAAAGTGTGTAGCCCCTCCCCCTTTGCCCTTTTCCGCCTGCTTCAGCTATGTAAGACCAGCCTACTTCCCCTTCCGCCATGATGGTAAGTCTCCTGAGGCTTCCCCAGCCATGCTTCCTGTACAGACTGTGGATCGCTGAGTCAATTAAACTTCTTTTCTTCATAAATTACCCAGTCTCAGGTATTAACAGTTCTTTATAGCAATGTGAGAACAGACTATTACCATGCCATTTTGCATATCTAACATCTGACCACAAAGCTGAATAATTTTCAGAGCTAGAAAGGACTTTGGAGATCATTCAATCTGGTGGTTCTTAAACTTTTGTAGGGTGATTTAATGAAATGGCATGTACACACTGAAAGTTGTGATGTCTATGAGCTTTTTAAAGTATGGGACTGGTTCCTTCTTTGTTACCAAAAATACTTTTGTCCTGGCTTTGTCCTAAGCACTTTGTACTAAGCACATGACTTTGTAGTAAGTACTGCTGGCCTGACTAATTGCTAAGGAAAGATAATGTCCTCACGTAATTAATATTTTAAACTAGAGTTTGGGAGCTTTGCTGGCCTGAGGAAATAAGCATCTTGGTGAGAAATTTAATAGACTCAAGAGTGGGCCAAAAATAAATCAATATATAATCAATAAATCCCTGTTTCCCAGGAAGCCAAATCCCACATGGCAAACTACATACCCTCAACACTGCCAGCCTGAATCTGAAGGCTTACTTTGGAAGCAAGCCTCAAATGCTATTTAAGATGTAGTTCCCTGTGTTGCTATAAGTACCAAATGTGTTTCTGTTTTGCTTTTAACACTTTGGAAGCTCAGAACAAATTCCAAGTGTTGGCAAACTGTCTGCCGCCTGCAGTCTGGTTTCCACCCACACCAGCCTGTTGGAACTGCTGTTGTAAAGGGCACTAATGACTTCCTCGCTGCCAGCCCAGTGGCCTCCTTTCTCTGCTGGTGTTGCAACCTTGGATTCTGGTGACCTCTTTCGATCTTAGTTTCCCTGGTCCCTGCTACCTCATTTTCTCTGGGCTCTTCTATGACTCTGCACCACTCCTCCTTGTCTCACAGTGACTCCTCGTCATCAGTCACTTCCAGGGGCAACATCCTGCACACCCATGGCTTCAACAGCACCTGTTTGCCAAGTGCCCCCCAAAGGTTTCTTTAGTTAAGACCTCTCTTCTGAGTTCTACACCTGAGTTGTCACCTGTCTATTAGTGTGTTTATATAGAAGCCTTTTTGCATCTAAATTAGTAAAGGAGGCTGGGCGCAGTGGCTCACGCCTGTAATCCCAGCACTTTGGGAGGCTGAGGCAGGTGGATCACTTGAGGTCAGGAGTTCCAGACCAGCCTGGCCAACATGGCGAAACCCTGTCTCTACTAAAAAAAAATACAAGAATTAACCAGGCATGGTGGTGGGCACCTGTAATCCCAGCTACTTGGGAGGCTGAGGCAGGAGAATTGCTTGAACCCAGGAGGTGGAGGTTGCAGTGAGCCAAGATCACACCACTGTACTTCAGCCTGGGTGATAGAGTGAGACTCCGTCTCAAAAAGAAAAAAAATTAGTCCAGGAAAAGTCTCAGTCTGTTCACTTATAGTACCACCAACACACTTCCTGACAGCTCTCTGCATCCTTCATTCATTCAACAATTATTTATTGGGCCCCAACTATGTGCCAAGCCCCACAATCAAGGCAACTTATTTCTGCCCCAGCCCTAAAGAGAGGAGGAGGCCAGCTGTCTGGAATACAAGTCCGGGCTGTGAACCTTTCTTCTATAATAGTCCATGCCCCCTTGTGTCTCTCCTAGCCTCTGCTCACTTGGGACAAGGCCCAGCCAATCAGGGACCACGTTTCCCATCTGCACAGGTCCTCCTTCCCTTCTGCTATCTTTTCCCATTAGTGAGCCCCTCTCTGGTTGCACATCCTGGGTGCAAATGATGGATGTTCAACTACTTTGATTATGGTTTAGGACTCCAGCCAGTGATGGCTTTCCAAATCTCATATTTCAGAGGCAACAGAAAACCTGAGTCACACAGAGGAACACTGGAGTCACAGGTGGGGACAGTGACTCCCAAGCCAGACAGCCCCAGCTGATTTTCTTCCAGCAGTGGCAGAAGGTCCAAGACACACCAGATCTCAGTGAGGGCTACCAACCATATCCCAAATGGTATAATGCCACATCTCTTCAAGATATTTATTTCCCCTTCTTTTCAGAGGACAATGAGGCTATTGTTTTTGGCAACCAGAAAGAACTGACCTTCTTGGTCCAGAGGGGAGAAAATAAGCTAGTATTTCATGTGCATTTACTATGACACAAGTATTGTTCTAAATGGTTTGTACACATTATTTCATCTAATCCTCCCACAACCTTATGAGGTGGGTATAATTATTGTCCTCATTTTACAGATACATAAATTGAGGCCCAGAGAGGTGAGTAACTTGCCTAAAGTCACACAGAGAGTAAGCGGTGCAGCCAGGATTTGAACCCAGGCAGTCAGGCTCCAAGTCCTGTGGTTCTAACCACAGTGCTCTGCTTCCTTTCTGAGCAGATGCTGGAGTGTGGACTTAATTCTCTGGTAACCTTGCTCCAATAAAGAGGCCTGATAAGGACTCTCTCACTTGGATGGACAACCAACATTTAAAAAATGGAACCCGTCTGGGTGGGGTGGCTCACGCTTGTAATCTCAGCACTTTGGGAGGCCGAGGTGTGTGGATTAGCTGAGGTCAGGAGTTCCAGACCAGCCTGGCTAACATGGCAAAATCCCGTCTCTACTAAAAATACAAAAAGTAGCCGGGCGTGGTGGCACGTGCCTGTAATCCCAGCTACTCAGGAGGCTGTGGCAGGGGAATCACTTGAACCCGGGAGGCGGAGGTTGAGGTGAGCTGAGATCATGCCACTGCACTCCAGCTTGGGTGACAGAGCAAGACTCTGTCTCAAACAAACAAACAAAAAACACCACACACACAAAAAATGGAACCCATTAGTACTTCTCCCACATTGTCCTGTGCCGCATTTGTTTAAACCGTCCCTAGCTACACACTCTCCCATGCTAGAAACTTCAGAGTCAACTTTTAATGTAAACATTTGGTGAGGGCCCTACTAGGCAAGACAGGCACAAGCCACAAAACCCAACATTCCAAGTCTGTTTCCCTCCTACTACTGTCTCCCAGTGTTAAGGGTTGACATGTGTCCCCCCAAAAGATATGTTAAGTCCTGACTCCTTTTCCATATGGGTATGACCTTATTTGGAAATAGGGTCTTTGCAGATATAATCAAGTTAAGATGAGGCTATTACGGCAGGCCTTAATCTAATATGACTGCTTTCCTTATAACAAGTTGGAAATTTGGACACAGACACAGAGGAAAGAGGGCCATGTGAAGATGGAGGCAGAGATTGGAGTGATGCTGCCACAAGCCAAGGAATGCCTGCAGCCACCAGAGGCTGAAAATGTCAAGGAAGGATCCTTGACTTTAGAGGGAGGCTTTTGAAGGAGTATGGCCCTGCAGCACCTTGGTTTTGGATTTTTAGCCTCTAGAAAGGTGAGACAATAAATGTCTGTTGTTTTAAGTCAGCCAGTGTGTGGTACTTTGTAACTGCAGCCCTAGGGAACTGATACTCCCAGCTTCCCAATTCACCTCTTTGGAGACAACTCTGGTTATCCATTTCTTATCTATCCTTCCAGAGGCAGCCTAAGCATGTACAGCAAATACACGTGTGTGTATTTCACACAAGGGCAGTGCTGACACTGTATACCCTGCTATGTATGGATTATTTTTTTATTTGAGAACACCTCAGGACCATATTTTTATTGTGATAAAATAGACATAACATCAAATTTATCACTTTACCCATCTTTAAGTGTACAGATCTGTGCATTAAGTATATTCACACTGTTGTGCAACCGTCTATCTCCCTCTGAAACTCTGAACCCATTAAACACTCACTCCCCCATTCCTGCTCCCCCGCCACCAGGGTCACTTGGAATATTTATCACTCCCTCTTCCTGACATTCATCACCAAGTCCTGCTGCTTCTGCCTTCTCTGTTTCTCTTGCATCCTTCCCTGTTTCTCCATCCTCACTGCTCCTGCCTTCCTCCAGCTGTCAGCATCTCACGTGGATCACTGACTCCAGGCTCCCCTGCCCCTGCCCGCCTCAGCCCACTGTCCACACTGCCAGCAGCCCGTCTTTCTAAAATATAGATCGGTTGTCATTTCCTTGTTTACAAATCTGCGACAGCTCCTACCCCCTGCAGGATACTGCCAAAGTTCTTTTGCGTAGCATAAAAGACCTTCCATGGTGAGTTCGGCCCTGCCTTCAGCTCTGTATCCAAAGCCTGGTGCAGGGCCCAGCCCACAGTGGGTGCTCCCGTTTATTGAGCCCTATGCTCTCTCTCTCTGAATTCCTTGTGTTCCTTCCAACAGTTTCCCACCTTGAGGCCTTTGCATATGTGGTTTCCACTGTGTGGACTTATTTCTCTAATGCCTTTTCCCCTTCTTCCCCATTTTCACCTTCTCCACCTGATACATTTGTTTATTCTCCAGGATTTCAATCAAATGGCACCTCGGCAGGGAGGTCATTTCTTGCTCCCTCAAACCTAGATCTCTACTGACCTCTCTAGAGCAGTCACCACATTCTTCTGTAATTACGTGTGGATCTCTCTGCCCACCTCCCACCTAACCAAGCACAGAGCAGGCAAGCACACAGCAGGTGCTCCATACATGTTTGCTGAGTGCAAGGTACTAGCCTGGCTCCTTGAGCAGGCTCCGCGGCCTGTCTCTGACTCCTCTGTTAAGTGAGGACAGCTGAGCCCCAAAGCAACTCCCCAGGGATCAGGGAGAGGGCAGTTTCTCTGTTTTCTGGGAGGCGCTAATGCATTGACATCAGTTCGGGGGAGGCAGCGGCTCCAAATGGGTCACCACAGGGCCGTGGCATGGAGTGTGATGTCTGCTGGAGGTGAAGAAGGGGTTGGCAGCCCAGCCGGAGAGTCTGTGGGGAGTTGCAGGATTTGTTCAGGGCCAGTGAAGGACAAGGGCATTCAAGGAGAGAGGAGAGAGAAGTTTCTGACTCTGTGAGAGGCTGGGGAGCTTTCCAAGGCCTCACAGAGCCACACGCTGGGCCCAGGTGCTCAGCCTTTGCAGGTGACCTGTGGAGGGAAAGATGGGGGAGGCCCGAGGTCTGAATTCAGGGGTCAACGTGTGGACATGACTGGGGGAAATGGCTGGTGCGGATGCAGCTCTAGTTGGCTTATGGAAAGCCATAAGCCCCTTGCCCCATAAGATACCAAGCCTTTCTTTAAAGCAGGAGCATGACCCTGTCCCTGCCCCTGCAACGTCCTGAGGAGCTCTCCGAACACCTGATGGACTTGTCCCTCCCTCCTCACTTCCTCTCTACCCCTACACCCTGTTTTGCTTTCTCTGTGGCACTCATGCTCTATGAAATAATCTTGCTCATTTGTCTGCTATTGTTTACCATCTGCATCACCTCAGTGACATTTAGGTCCTGGGCACTCCATGTATCCTGACCCCAGAAAAAGATCAGGTACCATACAGATCTCAGGAGGGAATGGATAGTAACTTTTGACACCAAGGGTTGGAATTCTCCTTATCTGGACGATCTTGTTCTCAAATGGCCACAGAGGATGTCCTGTGTGGGTCGGGCAGGCCTCAGCACCCCATACATCTTTGGTAAATGAACCTGAACTTCCAGCTGTCATTATAGAGTTGTATTTTAGGAAAAGTGCTGTTGAGGCCCAGCCTTCACCTATAATCCAGTTTGGCCCACACCAGACAAATAACAAAACCTGTCAGCCTCAAAAGGTGCCCAGGGGACCTGGGAAGGGTTGAAAGTAGCAGGTCATAGAGTGGTGCAATTCGTTAGATTCATCCCTGACCCCCGCCAAGTTTCCCCAGCCCACAAGGCAGCTGTTACTACCATCTTTACAGAGGATGAACCAAGCCCTGTGAGATGGGGGAGGGGACTTGCCCAAGGTCACCTGCTAGAAAGCGGCAGACCTAGATGAGAGCATCTGTATGGGGATTGGCACTTAGTTGGTGCTCAATAGAGTGAAGGCAAGAATGTAATGACTCAGGCCTCCTGAGTCCCATTCTATTACTCTTTGCAGCTTACCACCCCTAAACTTTCCCATTCTGGAACAGCTCAAAATCTGGTTCACACTACAGAAACACTTGCAAAAAGAGTAACCATTTTCTGGAATAAACTCGTGGCTCAAACAGCCCCCAAATCCTGTTGATAGGTACCATTTATCAGCTAAGAGAGGACTTAAGAACACCCCTGACCATCTTTATTTTAACACAGCCTTCACTCCAGAGCAGAAAAACGGCCTCTTGTATGAGGAAAATGACAGTATTTACTCTGTATATTTCCGAAGTGTTTCAAAACCAGTAATTAAGAACACATAAGAAACCCTGTCGAATATATTAATTGCTCTTTTCTTCCCTTCCACTGCCCTCCCCACTCCTTCACCTTCCAAAGAACAGGAAAAAAAAAAGGGAGAATTCACCAGGTTTGTATTATCTGATACTTTAATTAAGGAAGAATAAATGGGTCACCACTGTGAGCTTAGAAATGCAGCCTCATGGAATGGAATTCCTTTTTGAATAAACCTGATCACCATGGTGAGACCTTCCCATAGCTGCATAAAGACAAAAGCAGAGCTCTGGCAGCTTTTGATCAAGGTCACTCTGAAAATCAATGGCAGTGCCAGCATCAGACCTGGGAATCCTTGACTCTGGTCTCTCTGTCCCGGCTGGTATCCAGGCTGCCTCCCACCAGGAACCCTCGGCCAGCTGGTAGGTAATTATATGTGCTAATAGTCACAGACACTCCAGCCACCAACACCATGTCCCAAGTTCCTGCATTTGTTAGAACACCAAACTGCCTTCCCCTTTCTAGGGCTGTTTATTTAGAAAGAAGGAGCTCAGCTCTGACCGACTCAGAACTAGAAGCCCACCCAGCAACTTCTAAAATGAATGTCTGGGAGGGCAGGGAAGCAAGGAGACTGTATTTTTACATTATTTGCCAAGTCCTCCATTCTAGACCTGCTCTGCCTCACAGCAGCTGTGTGACCTCGGATAAGTCCCATAACCTCAATGGGCCTCAGCCTTCTCATCTGTAAAATGGGATAATAAAGGCTGTCTTGCACAGTTGTTGGGGACAGCTATGTACACACCACACGGACTGTAAGTGTAAGGAACAGGGTGGGTCCCTGGTATCTAACGCTTGGGTGTCTTGAATGAACAAAACTTCTTTGATCCTGTTACCTGCAAAATGGAGACAGTAATTCCTACTTCATGTCACATTAAATGAGATTAGAAAATATACGTGTAGATGTATCTGTATGTTGACTAGTCTGAAAAATAAGTATTCTTTTTAAAAGAAATGGTTTATCCTTTCATGTCCTGAATTTTTTGTAGCTAATAGAACTTGTAAATCCTTCACTTACTATTTAGGTAAGCTAACTGAATATTTCAGTTTTCTCTTTGAAGATGATTTCCAAATCGAATGAAAATTTAGCTCGAACAATCAATTAGTATATTTTCTGTACACAAATCATCATTCAGGAGACAAATGAGTCAAGAATGAAGAGATAAATGATTAAAAAGAGCCCAGGGACTCAGAGGAACCGACTTCCTCTGCTCCTCTGTGCATTCTGGCCTGCGTGCACATCACATTCACATCCTGAATGCCAGGGCTGAGGCTTCAAACTGGACAGATGCTGAAATTGAAATCCTTGGTGTGACTGTCAGAATGACACACACTTGGTCGCTAGACCATGCAGAAAGAGCTCTGTGCTGAGGAGGGGGGGCGCAGAGATGGACAGTGGCCCCTGAGGCTCATGTTCAGTCTGCAAAATTGTGAAAAGGGACAGAGCCATCCAGAAGATAGTGTCCTCTGAGAGGGCTTGTCTAGGTCTAGGGTGAGAGAGCAGAAAAATGACACATGGTTGTATCATTGGGTCTCTGGGTGCGATATCTGGCTCCCAACTCTGTCACTTACCATCTGTGTGATGTTGGCAGAGTTACCTAATGTCACTAAGCCTTGATTTCCACCTCTGTAAAATGGGGCAGCACTGCTTTTCCTGGATACCAATGTTTGTTTTGAGGCTGTTATGAGAAAGTATTAAAGGCCTTCCAAAATTATAGAATAATACCTAAGTAGGAGCCTCCTTATTATTTCAGCGGTAGCAGAGGCTCGGGGACTTTAGTTAAAAATGACCGCTTTATAGGCACTTATTTCCTTTCAGGCATTGTTTGAATGGATACTGCACGTTCATTATCCTACTTTGTGCTCACACCAACCTCTAAGCAGAGCTGCTATTCATATTTCCACATTACTCATGGGAAAACTAAGGTCCAGAGAGGTTAACTAGCTTGCCCAAGTTTGCACAGTTGATTAACTCTGGTGGTGAGATCTGGACCCAGGCAATGGGACCCTGGAGCCCAGGCTCCTAACTTTTAAGCTGTAGGGTCTCCTGAAGGTATGACAAACAAGGAATGCTTTGTCAGTTAGCATTAAGAAAACATCTAACCTTCCCTGTCACCCAGCAGTCCCGGGCTTCCTGCAAAAGGAGAGCAGGAGCTGCCAAGACATCCAGGTTGGCGATGGGGGCAATGAGCAGGAGTGGTGGGAGTGAGCCTGCACGCAGAATGTGCCCCGCCCACCCCTGAAAACAGGAGGCAGCACAGTCCGGTGGCAGAGGCTGGACTTAGAGTAGGACCACAAGAATTTCTTCCTTGGCACTTCTACCTACAAGCTGCTCCACCAATGGTTCCCAATCTGTAAAATGGGAAGATTATGCCAACCTCATGATGCCGCTTCGGGGATTAAAAGAGAGAAATCTTTTGTTGCAATTGATAACCGTCACATGGTAGGTGCTCAGTGAATGACCGTTCCCTCGCCTCTCCCTGAGATGGGCTGTTATTGTAGGTGACAAGGTACAAGGCATGGTGGCACAGCCAGAAAATGCCCAGACAAAAATCTGAAGACAGGAAAGCGCTCAGTGGTTAGAACTATGATCCCAGGGCTCTGGACTGCCTGAATTCATATCCTGACTCTATTATTTACTACTCCAGTGACTTTGAGCATGGTATTGAACCTATCTGTGCCTCAGTTTCCTTACCTTTGAAGTGAGCATAATCACAGTACCTACTTTACACTGTTTGGGAAATATTCATCTGTGTAAAGCACTTAGAACAGTGCTCGGCATGTGGTAAACATCCAATAAATGCTAGCAATTATGACTTTGACTCGCTCTCTGCATGTTCTTGGGCTGAGGGACAGCTCTGGGCCTTCGGGGGGCTGCTGCATACCACAAACCCTCCATTTCCTTGCAGAACCCCAATCAGATCTGAAAGGGCAGAAATCTCTGCCCTTGGCCTGGTTGGATGAACTGTGGAGGAAAGGCAGTTTCCCATCAAGTGGGTAGGAAGGGATTTGAAAATGATGACAATGACACCTGGGAAACAGCTGGGAGTGGGGGGAGTCGGGAAAGTGCATGCTCTTAGGTGTGTTCGTGTGCGTGCACGCGCACGCACACACACACGCCCCACTGGGTTTCTGTGTTTTTTTGCATTTAAAGCCAGATTATGACTCACCTGAGTGAGTTCTTTTATTTCTCTTGCTTTGGCTCAAAATGAGCACCCACGCATGGGGGCCCCTGAGTGGCCCATGGGTAATTCCCACCTTGACAGAGGAGAGCCCTGGATACAGGCCTGAGGAATGCAGAGAAGACCACTCCATCCTCACGCAAGTGAAAACGCAGAGGCGCTCTCTGACCCAGCCAGAAATTTCACTCTGTAAGGTTTGGTTAAAAAACTACAGGAAGACCGGATTTTACTGGGGGAGGAGAGAGAAAGAGAGGGAGAAGCTAGGCGCAGAGAGAACAGCCAGAGAGAAACCACACCGACATCTGTAATCTAAGAATCGGACCGTCCTCCACGGGCCTCGCCGCGTTCTTTCAACCCTGCAACTCCAGGGACCTGCTTATTGTTCAGCCCGCGTCTGCCACTTCAACCAGGGAGCCTCCACCCCAGCGCCGCCGAGGTGTGCGGGGCTCAGGCCGCCCAGCGGGGCTCTGATTGGAGGGGTGGAGGCTGCGAGGCCGGAGCCCTCCCTCCCCTGCCGCCCCCCGCCCGCCCCCGCGCCTACCTGAGCTGGCGCGGCTCGCAGTCCACGCCGGGCAGCAGCAGCCGGGCCGCCTGGCGGACGTCGTCGCTGTCCATGGAGAAGCTGCGGCGGTGGCCGGCGTGCGCCACGGCCACCCGGATCCACTCCATCAGCGGCGGCAGCACGAGGAAGGGCCTGCGGTGGGAGGAGGGACCCGGAGACGCGCGTTAGGGCCTCCCCGGAGGCAGGGGCTGCCGGCTTGGCCCCACCCCCTGCTCGCGGGGATCCCCCCATCTCCCGACTCCCCAGCCCACACCCCGCTTTCCCTGGAGACCCTGCCTCTGAATTCCAGAGTAGTGGGAGAGCCTTTGGAGACATCCGGACCGCACCGGTGACCCCGGGGCAGGCTCTCTGGAATCCTTGGGCCTCAGTTTCCTCATCTGTAGCCTGGGGATAATGTGACTAGGAAAGGCTAGGAGGTAACTGATCTGGGAATATTATCCCTCTCGGCGATCATGTGAACATAAGGATGAGTCACTTGAAGCACCAAGCGCAGGGTCTGGAGCGGCGGAAAACCAATCAGCGCCCCGTGTTATTTCTATTTGGGGCTCCCTGATTGTGGACCCAAGCCTAAGGTGTCCGCTAGCACTCCCTTCCCATCTGCAGCCTCGTCCCTGTCGTCTTTCTGGAGCTCTTTCAGGCTTCAGCTCTGCCCAGGCAACATGCTGCCAAAAGGCTTTGGCACCTAGAAAAGGCTCTCTAAAGAGAGCCAGGTTAACCGGCAGCCTTCCCCCAGACCCAGGCTGGCTGGGCAGCCACCCAGTGGCGCCCACAATTCGAGGCCCTTTGGACCTTGGTCACACCCCTGAAACTCTGAGAGCCTCAAGTTCCCTGCCTGCTAATGGGATCATGGTAGGCTGTTGCAAGCTTGTTGCACGCATTGAGACAATGCCTACAACTGAAGGGCAACTTTCTAAGTGCAACGCATTTGTGCCATCTTCCTATTTCTTCCAGTGATGATAAACTCTGTCCTCACATTAGGATTACTGGAGAAGATTTTGGAAAAAATAATGACACTTGAGTCCTGTCCCAGGGATTCTGATTTAATTGGTATAGGGTGCAGCTGGATACAGGCAGTTTTCAAAACCTCCCCATGTGAATTTAATGTGCATCAGAATTATCTGGAGGGTTTGTTAAAATACGGACTGCTGGGTCTCATTCCCAGAGTTTCTGATTCCATAGATCAGGGGAGGTACCCAGGAAATGCATTCCTAACCAGTTCCTGATACGGATGCTACTGGTCTGCGGACGACATTCTCAAAGAACCTCTGCTCTAAAGTCATCATGAGAGGGCCTGGGAATCATCTGGCTCTATATCCAGAGATGGTGATTGTGTTAGAGTCCAAGAAGATAATTCTGATAGGCAGCCCCTGGGATTCTGATTTAGGTGGGCCAAGTACCACACTTTGAGAAATGCACTACGTAGATGCAAAAGGTTTCCTGCCATTCAGCAGGGGTCAGACTAGCATGAAGCCAGTGGGGTTCCCTGGGTGCAAAACTGAAGGAGGCTAGGTCATGCAAATATGTTCTTGGCATGTCTCTTGCCTCCCCCGGCCCTGGGGCTGCCATTCAGTCCAGCATGGCCACCATGGCATTGAGAAGAGGATGACAGGTAGATGGGGTTATAAGTCAGCCAGCCCCCTTGAGAAATGCAGATGTCATGAGCTTCCCAGAAAGTTTTTGGTGGCAGGTGCCAGTTTTCCTATAGTCAGATCTATTTATCCAATGTTAATAATATTCAGCAGCTCAGCCATTTACATTGATTCATGGTCTCATCTGAATGCCTAGGACCAACCTCTGTGCTAGTTATGATTATGCCCATTTCATTGATCAGGAGAATGATGTTGATCCAGGTTAGGTATCATGCCCTGGACCACAAGACTAGCAAGAGCTGGGAGTCAGACCCAAGTTACTTGACTATATAGCATGTGTAGAGAAACCCCATGTGATATTGACATTCTCTTGTCCAACTTCGTAGCATGCACTCTGTTACCCAGCATGCACCTGTCACCCCAGGGGAGCTGATCAGGTCATGGACTCTTGCTGGCATGCAATGGGCTGATTCCTGTTCATGCAGCTGAGCCTCCTGTCTGTAAGGCTTCAAGCCCTTTAAAAATCCACATCCCTCTTAACCTTCAAACCACAGGCTAAATCCCATTTCTCCCTAGACGTTCCTCCTGACTTTACCTCACTTGAATCCCTCGCATTGTGGGCCTCACCCCAGAGGACTCCTCTGGCCTTACCCGCTGCCTCTGCAAATGCCCCATTAGAATGTAAACTCCACCAGGGCAGGGAATGGGGACTTCTTGGATCACGGCTCCCGCCGCAGCTCCAGGATGGTGCCTGGCACACTGTAGGCACTTAATAAATATTTGCTCATGACACAGACTAAGATTTACCAATTTCTTACTGGGTGAAACTGATAAAATTGAGTTTCTGGACCTGTGGACCTATCTGTGGGGCAGAGTCCCAAGGATTTTCTGCCTGAATCAGCCTGCTTCTTAGGCTGTCTCCCTCATTCTCCCATTCTCTCCATCACCTAAACTGAATCAGGCACTCAATAAACACACGCTGACTTGAAATTGAATTGGATTCTACTGTCTCAGGTGAGCAGAACTTATTTTTGTCACAGTGTCTCCATTATTGTTGGAAACCAGCCCCAAATGCTCAGAGAACTCTCTGGGTTAAGTTTCAGAGGCGCCTCCCCTCATCATTCCTTTGCTCAGTGGCCCCAGAGCACAGTCCACAACCCTGAGTCCCTGGGGGGCTGCATCTCCATCACAGAACTGCCCTTGGGCTGCTGCCTTTCATGTTAGATGCCAAGCGAGGCCCAGGGCACACGGCCAATGCCTGGTGAATGCCAAAGAATAGCAAAAAAAAAAAAAAAAAAAAAAAAAAAAAAAGAAGAAGAAAGAAAAAGGCTCTGCTGCCTTCAAAAATAACACCTTTACCAAGACAGCTGGCAAGCTCCAGAATAAGACACCTTGAACCTCAGGATTCCAGCCTCTCCTGGAATTTTCTATGTACCTATTCTCTCCTTTCAACATTGCCTTCTTCTTGTCACTCTGACCTTAATAGTATATAAGCTCATGAATTCTTTGCCAGTAACTCATTTAAAAATCTTCTTATCTTGTCTACTCAGAGGGGAAAAAATAGCATTATTTGTATGTTTTCTTTGGAGGAATTGGAGATGGGAAAGAATTCGAGGGCTCTGAGTCAAGGAGAGGGTGGAGAATGCTGAAGAAAAAATCTTGCATTCTCTTTATACTTTTTTTTTTTAAGAGAACAATGTTCCACTGGTTGTCTCCTTTATTCTGAAGTTGTTTGAAGTGACTAAAACCCAAAAGAAGCTTGAGGAGCTCATGGTTTAGTGAAGTGGTTCTTAGACTTTGTTGAACATCAGAAGCACATGAAGAACTTGTTAAAATGGCAACAGCCATGATTTTACATCCAGAGTTTGGCTCCCATAAGTCTTGGGGTAGGGCCTGGGCATCTGCATTTTAAATAAGCTCCCCTGGAAATTCTGCAGCAAGCCAGGTTTGTTAATCCCCAACCACGTGGCCTGAGATGAGCAGAGGAGGGAGATGGTCCACTCAAACAGGACAGTGGCCATCTACATCTTCACTGTGGTGTTAGGAGAGGTATATAGGGTGCGACTAGAGGCTCTGGAAGGAAAGAGAAAGCCTTGATGGGCTTCCTGCAGAGTCAAGCCAGCATGTCAGCTCAGGAAGGCTGTTAAGCCCAGATTCAAGTAGGAGATGGAGAACATACACGGACATGGCCTTTCTCTGAAATGGTGAAGAGAGAGCTGGTGATGAGGCTGACCACCCAGGATGGAAAAGGAGTTTGGCTGGGGAGTCTGGGTACTAGAAAGAATGTTACAGGATGTGAGAAAGGCCTGGTTTGGGATTTTGCAGAACTGAATCCCAGCCCTGGATCTGCCCGTAACTCACTGGAGGGCTCCTCTGGCCCATCAACGTTTTGGCCTTCAGTGTCTTCACCTGTAAAGTGGGGTGGGTTTGCATCAGATGATCTATTTCAGGGCTCAGCAAACCTTTTCTGTAAAAGGCTAACTAGTAAGTATGTTAGGCTTTGTGGGCCATAAGGTCAGTCTCTGTTGCTACTACTCAACTCTGACATTGCAGTGAGAACAGCCACAGATGATACACAAATGAAGGAGCTTGGCTGGGTTCCAATACAACTTTACTTACAAATGCAGATGGTAGGTCAGAGGTGGCTACCATTAGCCTGTTCAGTTCTTCCCAATGCTAATATTCTTCGATTCTATTGGAAAAGCCAGTTGCTGGGGCCTTAGGAAGTACCTAGTGTGTAGACTAGGGAAGATGGAGAGAAGACCATGAAGGTCCTAGTGATAGGGACAGAAAGTTTTGGGGAGATCAGAAGATAGGACCCTCCCACAAAGAGGTCATGGTTGGATGCTTGAGCCACAGGCATATCCAGAGGTAGTAGATTAAAAGATATCAAGAGTTGCTGAGGGTGAGGTTGGAGACGTGGTAAAGAGTGCGGAGTAGGTATGGAACCTAGGAGTGAGGACATCCATGGGCTCAGGAATTCATCTCACATGCTAAACTGCCTTGTTCCAGGGTTCAGAGAAACTACCTGTTGTTATGGGCTGAACCGTGTTCCCCCAAATTCCTATGTTGCAGCCCTAACCCCCAGTACTCAGCATATGCCTGTATTTGGAGAGAGAGCCTTTGAAGAGGTAATGAAGTTAAAATGAGGCCATTAGAGTGGCCCTAATCCAGTCTGACTGATGTCCTTAGAAGAAGAGGAGATCAGGACACGAGAGACACCAGGGTTGTGTGTGCACAGTGGGGCAAGAGGGTGGCCATGCACGCCAAGAAGAGCGGCCTTGGAGGAAGACAACCCTGCCAGCAGCTTGATCTGGGGCTTCCAGCCTCCAGAATGGGGAGAAAATCAATTTCTGTTGTTTAAGCCACCTAGTCCATGGCATTTTGTTATGGCAGCCCCAGCAAACTAATATACTTGAGGTTTGACATTTTGAAGAAAACTTGGCCTGGAGTGGGAGGAGCCAAGGTAGTGTTCTAGGTCAGTACCCCAAACCAAGAAATCCTATTTTGAGGTTTCAGTCTTCAGTAGAGGGGCTTCAACTGGAAGCTCAAACTCTTTAGAAAGCTGATGGTGTTTGGTTTGTTTCCTTCAACCTAGTGCAGTAGGGGATGGGGTCAAAGCCATTTGAAGATTGTACAGTGCTGTGGTTAGGAGCACGGGCTTTGGAGAGAGACTGATTGGAACTGGATTCCAGCTCTACCTTCTAGCAGTGGGAGCTTGAACAAGATATTTCAAGTGTCATGCCTCAGTTCTCTCATTGGGAAAATAGGGATAATAATAGCACCCACCTCAGAGGGTATGGTTGGCTGAAGAATGCCTCCCACCCCTAACCGAAGATGTCCACATCCTAATCCCTAGAACCTGTGAAAGCTGCCTTAACTGGCTAAATGGACCTTGCACGTGTGATTAAGTTCAGGAGCCTCCAGGTGGGCCCTAAATGCAATCACAAGGGTCTTTATCAAAGGAAGGCAAGAAGGTCAAAGGAAAAAGGAAAAGAAGCAGTAGAAGAGGTTGGAGTAATGAGAGGAAGGGGCCATGAGCTAGGTAATGCAGGCAGTCTCTAGAAGCTGGAAAAGACAAGGAAATAGATTCTTTCCCAGAGCCTCTAGGAAGAACCAACCCTGCCTATACCTTGACTTTAGCCCAGTGAGGCTGATTTTAGACTTCTGGCTGCCAGAACTGTTAAGAGAAGAATTTTGTGTTGTTTTAAGCGTCCGTGTGTGGTAATTTTTTACAGCAGTCACAGGGAACAAATAAACAGGGTTATTGGAAGAATTGAACGGGATGATGTACTTAGCGTGGCGCCTGGTACCGAGAAAGTGCTCAATAAATGGGGGCTGTTATTATCATCATCACCAACATTGTTTTTAGCATCACTCATCTTCTCCCTGCCAGGTGCAGGAAAAGGCCTTGCTACACAGAGCGACATAGAGGGATGTTCCTGCCTTTTCTTTACAAATAGATGCAAACCTCTGCAGATGCTATAGCCTTCCCTTTGTAAACTGTGTGGCCCTGACTTTTCATCTTTGTTATTTGTTGAGTGTTTCTTAGACTGGAAAGGAATTTCGATATTTGTGGTTTAGGAAGCTCATAATTCCAGAGACACAGAGAGTGAAGGAAAAGCAGCTAAATTGATAGTAGACCATATTCGGTGCTGGTTTCTATAGCAATGCTCATTGTAACATCACTGCATCTGTGGGCACCAAAGCCGGGAAGATGGTAGAGGTAAGAGGTGGCCACAGCTGGTTACTATAGTGACAGCCCTACTGTGCAAGGCATAGTCCAACTGCCCACGAGGGTGGTTTCTGCAGATGGCCTGGAGTGGGAGGAGCCAAGGTAGTGTTCTAGGTCAGTGCTTCTTAAATGTTTCTGTGCCTTTGAATCACCTGGGATCTTGTTAAAATGCAGATCCTGATTCAGAGAGTCTGGGGCACAGCCTGAGATTCTGCATTTCTTTCTTTCTCTTTCTTCCTTTCTTTTTCTTTTTTATAGATGGAGTCCCGCTCTGTTGCGCAGTGATCTTGGTTCACTGCAACCTCTGCCTCCTGGGTTCAAGCAATTCTCCTGCCTCAGCCTCCCAAGTAGCTGAGATCACAGGCATGTGCCACCACACCCAGCTAATTTTGTATTTTTAGTAGAGACAGGGTTTCACTATGTTGGCCAGGCTGGTCTCGAACTCCTGACCTCAGGTCATCCACCTGCCTTGGCCTCCCAAAGAGCTGGGATTAGAGGAATGAGCCACCGCACCCAGCTGAGATTCTGCATTTCTAATGCGCTCCCAGGTGATAATGCAGCTGCTGGTCTATGGAACATATTTTGAGTAACCATGACCTACAGAGAATCATGACTCAAGTCAGAAACCAGGGAAGGTGAATTTTGTTATTGTGTTTAAGTTGGGGAGGAAAAGGGGTCACAGGTCCAGGAGACAATGGAATAGAAGGAGTTGAGCTGGTGCATCAGATTGGCCGAGCCTGGTTCATGAGCCTTTGCCAAGCTGCAAGTGAGGCTGGGAAAAGCTAGTGCCTGGAGGCTTCAGTTTTTATCATAAAGGTGGGTTCTGTCTCCACCTGGATTCTCATTTAGTCTTCCAACAACCCTGTGAAGCCCTTCAGTCTTGGGGAGTTTGTTCTGAACCAAGCATTGTCTGCAGACTATTTTGTATTCATAGCAGTATTTAGTATCATCCTGGGAATATAAACACTCGAGAAAGACACCTTGTGATGTTAATTTTATGTATCTACTTGGCTAGGTCACATTATCCAGATATTTAGTCAAACAGTAGTCTGGACATTACTCTGAATTTTTAGATGAGATTAACCTTTAAATCAGTAGGCTTTGAGTAAAGCAGATTATCATCCATAACATGGGTGGGCCTCATCCGAACAGTTGGAGGCGTCAAGAGAAAAAAACTGATTTTTCCCAGAAGAGAGAATTCTGCCAGTCGAATACATTTGAACTTGAGCTGCAACCTCAACTCTTCTCTGGGTCTCCAGCCTGCTGACCTATCCTGCAGATTTTGAACTTGCCAGTATCCACAATCTTGTAAGCCAATTCCTTAAATCTGTGTTGTGTATATAAAGCATATTAGCCAGGGCTCTCCAGAGAAACAAAACCAGTAATATATGTGTGTGTTGATCAATCTGTCTATCTGTCTATCTGTCCACTCACCATCTGTTCCATCTATCCATCCATCCATCCATCCATCCATCCATCCATCCATCCATCCATCGATTCATCCACCCAGCCACCCATCCATTCATTCATCCACCCACACATCCATCCATCCATCCGTCCAATCTCCCCTTCTTTCCGCCAACATGTACACACATCCTATGGGTTCTGTTCCTCTGGAGAAACCTGACTGACACACATCTGCAATGGGATTTAGTTGCATGCAGGGACATAGCCTTCTCTTTCTACTGCTGATTCTTCCTCCCTCACCATCATGCACAATTGGCTGAGGTAGGGAGGAAGCTCAGGTGCTAGATCCCATGGAGGATGACTTCCCCACACCCTGATTATGCACAATACACCACTTGGGAACCATGAAACAGAGGCCTCATGGATAGAGTCAGTGCTTTTAGGGAAAAGTAAGCCATTTTGTACCAAAGTACAAGTCTTTTGCAGCGTGAAGGTCAGTGCCACTTATGAGTGATTACATAAATTGTCTGAAATGGGGCAAATGGCAAAGGGCACAGGTGAGGAGGTGATTTCTACAGATAGTGCCCAGACGCACGTGACTGACCAAGGAAGCATCTCTGGCTTTCCAGCTGCACATCCTAAGAAAGGTGACTTAGAGGGCTGAGGGCTGCAAGCAGTACTGAGGACAGGCAGGTCTAGGCAGAGCGAGCAAAAATAATACATGAATAACAACAACCTTGACCCTGCCTGCAAACAGCTACACATCCTCTAGGCTTCATTTCCCTTCCCATCCCAGAGAAGGATTCCTTTTCTCTTCCCTGCTTCTGCTTCCCTGGGGACTTGGCTCAATCATTTATCTCCCTGCAGTCCCATGACTTCAACCACCATCTCCTCTCTGTATGTTTCCCATCGGTATTTAGGCATTCAACATGCTCCAGGCTCTCACAGTTTAAATAGGATGTGAGCAAAACTGTAAGAATTCATGGTCCTCCTGGAGCATCAGCCTGGATGCTCCATCTAGTTCCCCATCTTCAGGGAGTCTCCAGATCACCTAGGGAGCTGGTGAAAATGGATATTCCCGGGTCTGTGCCCGTTTGCTTGGTGTGTTAGTTTCCTATGGCTGCTGTAGCAAAAGACCACAAACTTGGTGGCTTGAAACAACAATCTGGTGGCCATATTTTGGACTTCTGGCCTCTCACAGCTCTGGAGGCCAGAAGTCCAAAATCAAGGTGTTTGCAGGCCCTCCCCTCTCTCATGGAGATCTAGGAGAGAGTCCATTCCTTGCCCCTCTCAGCTTTTGGTGGTAGCTAGCATTCCTTGGCTTGTGGCTAGTCACTCCAGTCTTTATCTCTGTCTTGCATTACTTTCTCCTTCTTTGTGTCAAGCATCCTTCTCTCTTATAAGGATACTTGTGATGAGATGTAGGGCCCACTCAGATAATCTAGGAGAATCTCATGTCAACATTAATGGAATCACATAGGTAAAGACTGTTTTTCTTTATAAAGTAGCATTTTCAAGTTCTGCGCATTAGGACTTGATCATTTTGGAGCTATTTGTGATTTAGCCTGCTGCACTTGGCATCTGCATCTTATCTCTTATTCTCTGTAGGTATTTTCTGATGCCGACCAAAGGCTGAGACCATCAGGTCTAGAGAGTGCCAGCTCTGAACTGCAGGATGCTCAGCAAGCTCAGTGTCCATCACGTACCATGTGGGGACCAGCCAGCCAGCCTGTGCCTCTCTCCGCTAGCTGCTGCCTATGCCACAGACCAGCCTGGTTAAGGAAGGCAGAGGCCTCTGTGGCAGGAACCTGATCTCAAATGGGGTTGGATGATGATGGGGCCCAGGATATAAATGGCCCTGGGAGGGGAGCCGCAGCCTCAGAAGTGGAGAAGCCACAGACTCTGTGTGAGGCTGCCGCGAAACACGCCTTGCAGGCTTGGGCACAAAAAATAAACATCCAGGAAGCAGCAGAGGCTGTACAGCTTCATATCCTGGGAGAGGTGGCTCTAGAAGCCTAAAAGGGCAGGGACGGGCCTGGTCAGGGCCAAGAGGCAAAAGCCAGGGTGGGCTCCTAGGGGCCATGTGGGCCTGCTTCTGCCTCCAAAAACAAAATCATAAAAAGTAGCAAAAGGCAGCACACAGCCTTACAAAGGAAACCCACTACACCTTCACATCTGGTGCTGATGTGGTAGTAAGGGTATGTACTCTGAAGATGTTTGTGCCCAGGCTTCATCATTTGCTAGCTGTGGGACCTTGGGCAAACTACTCCCCATCTCTGTGCCTCAGTTTCCTCATATGTGAAACAGGGGAATTGTAAGGCCACACCTCAGCATTGTTGTGAAGATTAAGGGAGAGAATGTCAGTAAGGTGCTTAGCACATAGTAAATGCTCAACAAACTTAGCTACTATTGAGGGTTTGTTATATGTGAAGCAAGCTCTGAGCATTTTTCTGATGTTAGCTCATTTGATAATGACAAGAGCCCTGAAGTAAGTGCTATTATTAGATAATAAAATAGAGGTACAGAGAGGTTATCTAACTTACCTAAGGACACACAGTTATAAACAGCAGTGCCAGGATATACTGCAGGCAGCTGGGCTCAGAGCCAGGCCTATTAGCCATTCACTATATCATTTCCAGGCAGAGGCTAACAGCATGTGTACAGAGGCCCAGAGGAAGCCTGGGGCCTGGTGCTTTGGACCTCAGCTTGTTGTGACTGGGGCTGAGACAGAGCAACGGAAGGAGAGGGACTGGTAGGAGGCAATGCTGGAGAGAGAGGCAGGGGGAGGAGCAGACAGGTAGGGCCTGCAACTTCTGGAATAAAACTGTAAGTTCCTAATATTTTTATTCTTCCTCAGATAGGACTACAGTTGAAAAATACAAAATCAGAAATGTATTTGGAAAAAAACATCAAGAATGGATTGACATCCAATCCCACTGGAAACAAGAAAAAAAAAAAGAATGGACTGACAAAAACCCTTCTAAGAAGGTAAAACTATAGGTTAGCCATAACCCTTTGTATAGAAAGTTAAAAAGAAGGGTTGGGCATGGTGGCTCATCCCTGTAATCCCAGCACCTTGGGAGGCTGAGGTGGGTTGGTCACCTGAGGTTAGGAGTTCGAGACCAGCCTGGCCAACATGGAGAAACACCATCTCCACTAAAAATACAAAAAATTAGCTGGGTGTGGTGGCGTGTGCCTGCAGTCCCGGTACTCGGGAGGCTGAGGCACGAGAATCGCTTGAACCCGGGAGGCAGAGGTTGCAGTAAGCCGAGATTGCACCACTGCACTCCAGCCTGGGCAACAGAGTGAGACTCTGTCTTGGGAAAAAAAAATAAAAGAAAGTTAACAACGAATATATTTATACTGTGGCAGAGGCTGCTGGTTTTCCCTCTATACGTGTTCTCCTCTTCTTCCTTAATAATGAAACTCAGAATCTTTAGTTGGGCTCATGACCATCCAGCATGAAGATTATATTTTTTAGCCTCTTTTGCACCTAGGAGACTGGTTCTTACAATGAGGTCTAAGCAGCGGTTCCTTGTGAGACTTCCAGGAAGGGCCCCAAAGGGAAGAGGCCCAACCTTCTCTAGTCTTCCCTCTGTAAGCAAGACTGTGGACATGATGGCTGGTGCCCAAGCAGCCAAATTGGACCATGCGGTGGAAGCCACTTGTTGATAAACGCAGAGCAACAAGATAGAAGTGGTGCCTGGACTTCTGACCGTTGCTTAAGTGGCCAAACCTGCCCTGGATTTTTTACTTCCAGGCTAAGTCTGTATGATAAACTTCTATCTTGTTTAAACACCAGCTATTTGCGTTTTCTGACACTGGTGGCTGAATCTAAGTGATGCTTGTATCAGTTCCTATAACACTTAAGTTATATCTCTGTTTCTCCTGTTGTGTCAACATGGATTCTGTTTCTTTCTGCTTACAAAAAAAGGACAAAAACCTTTCCTTTTAACAGTTATCATCTAAACACTATGAACTTGTTGTAAACTTGAGACTCGATATTTGTTCTCAGAAACCACAGTTGTGAAAATATTTGTTACAATGAATTGTTTTTGTTCACTTAAAGGTGTGACTTATGCCACAGGAGGTTGAATTTGTTCATCAACCTTGTGAAAATTTATCAACCATGGCTTTGAACTTACCATAGTTAACCCAACCAAGAAAAATAACAATATAGACATTCTAAGAGTCAGAAACACATCTCAAAGTCTTTATCCTTACAAAAATTCTCTGCAAGTGAACATTTTAAACTTAAAATTAACAGATCAATTCTAAAACACCAAGCAGAATCTCTTTTTTCCACAACCCAAACCAGAAAGGAATGTAAAGGAGAGGCTGAGCAGTCCAGAGCTTCCCCCATGCCATCTTTGGTGTCCTTGCCATTGGGTGGTGGCTTTGAGAATGTCCTTGTCATTGGGTGGTGGATTTGAGAATGTCTTTGCCACTGGGTGGTGGCTTTGAGAAGATGATATTCTAGTTCCCTTGTAATAAACCACTTGGACTCACATCACCCTGCATTTGGCAGTATGACAGAATGGGTTAAATGTGTGCTTCAGCCCTGATCAATCAGAACTCTACTTAGGAAAACACAGGCTTAGCTGATTCCCTGGGCCTCCTGTGTTGCTACAGAATGATTCGTGCATTGAGTCAGAAGCACGTTTGGACCAGCTCTGGTATTAACTAGCTGTGTGACTTGTGTATCTATCTGTTCCACCCCCTGGGCTTCGGTGTCTTCACGGGTGGCGTTAGGAGACTGCAGAAACTTCTCTTCTAGCTTAAAATAATAGTACCATATTTTGAGAGAAAGAAATAACAAAAATATTAATATAAAGAAGCTAGGGGAAAAAGCCCACGAGGGTAGCTTCCAATAGAACTTTCTGTCCAATAAAACTTTCTGCTCTGATGAAAAATGTTCTGTATCTGTGCTGTCCAGTTTGGTAGCTACGAACCTCAGTGGCTACTCAAGATTCGAAATGTTATTAGTGTGATTGAAGAACTAAAATTTTAACTAATTTAACTTTAAATAGCCACATGTGTTAGTGGCTATCCTCCCAGACAATGCAGCTCTAAGAGATGTCTTTTGGGTCAGTACAATTCCAGACCAGAATTCCAGCCAAGTAGGGTAGTGGGAAGGGGGCTATGGTAGATATTACGCAACCTGGATTTTTGACTTTGTCTTTCCATTATCATGATCTACACACATCGTCATCACCTTTACCATGATTTTATAGCTCCCATCATTTCTTGAGTGCCTATAATATTCTAGGCCCTGTGCAGAATGCTTAAATATGTATAATATTCCTATCTTACAATGATGAGCAAGCTGTTACAAGGCTTGGCAAGATTCAGTAACTCGCACAGAATATCACAATTATTTGGGGAGAGCTAGGGTTTGATCTCAAGTCTGCTAGAATCCAAAGTCCATATGTTTAGTCATTATTTTATTGCTTCTCCAAAGACCAGTGTGACATTGAGTCACTGAACACTAAGATATAGTCACATGTCACCTAGAGACCAGGATACATTCTGAGAAATCCTCTGTTAGGTGATTTCATCATTGTGTGAGCATCAGCACATCAATACATCAAGAATGTACATCAAGAGTGCACTTATACAAACCAAGATGATATAGCCCAACCGTCCCCAATCTTTTTGGCACCAGGGACTGGTTTCATGGAAGATAGTTTTTCCACAGACTGGGGGTAGGGGGGAATGGTTTTGGGATAAAACTGTTCCACCTCAGATCATCAGGCATTAGATTCTCATAAGGGGCACAACCTAGATCGCTTGCATGCGTAGTTCACAATAGGGTTTGTGCTCCTGTGAGAATCGAATGCGGCCTGTGATCTGACAGGAGGCGGAGTAATGTTCATTTGTCTGCTGCTCACCTCTTGCTGTGCGGCCTGGTTCCTAACAGGCCATGGAACAGTACTGGTCTGCGGGCCGGGGATTGGGGACCCCTGGTGTAGCCTACTACACACCTAGCCTATAAGGGATAGGCTATTGCTCCTAGGCTACAAGCCTGAATAACATGTGACTGTACTGAATACTATAGGCAGCTGTAACACAATGGGAAGTATTTGTGTAACTAAACATATTTAAATGTGGAAAAGGCACAGTAAAAATACAGTACCATAATCTCATGGGACCATCCTTATGTATGTGGTCCATTGTTGACTGAAACATTGTCCCACGGCACATGACTGTACTTCAGTTCTTCATCTGTGAAGTGAGGAGACTGGGCCATATGAACTCTAAGCTCCACTTGTAGAAAGGTCATGATTCCTATACCCGCAAGGGCGACACTTTTATATAATGAATGCTGTCATTTACACTTGTCACCATGTTACTCAGAAGGACCCTGACTACTCTGAGCACAGGTCAATGATTTCCCTTTCCCTTGACTTGATGATGGATTTAATTGATTGATTGAGACAAGATCTTGGTCTGTCACCCAGGCTGAAGTGCAGTGGTGCAATCTCTTGGCTCACTGCAGCCTTGAACTCCTGGGCTCAGATGATCCTCCCACCTCAGCTTCCTGAGTAGCTGGGACCACAGGCAGTTGCCACCATGCTCAGCTAATTTTTTAATCTTTTCTAGAGATGGGGGCAGTCTCCCTCTGTTACCCAGGCTGGTCTCGAACTCCTGGGCTCAAGTGATCCTCCTATCTTGGCCCCACAAAGTGTTGGAATTACAGGTGTGCTGGAATTACAGATGTGAGTCACTGCCCCTGGCCTATAGATTGTTTTTTAAAGCTTCTGAGGTGATTCTGATCTCCAGAAAAGGCCTAAGAGTATCAGACCTGGATTGAACTTGCTGCAGTCAGAAAAGATCTTTCATGAACTGTGTTTTGGTAAAGATGTTTGTGTGTGTGTGTGTGTGTGTGTGTGTGTGTGTGTGTATTTAAATTAGATGATGAAAGCTACATCATGCCTGTTTCCTGTTTTGCCTTGGCGGCTAAGAAACTCAATGCTAAATTTTGTGTTAAATTGCAGTAACAAACCTTCGGAGAGATTTTCTGCTACAGCAGTCTTCCTTACTCTTAATGACATGTTTTTTACATTGCTATCTTTGTTTAGTAATTCTGTTATAACTAACTCATACTGTGAGTCTGGCTCAAGTCCCTTTCAGAGTTAAATTGGTTATAAATGATGAATAAATAAACATCATTTGTCTCAGGTTGCACCAAAGCTCCAAGAATAACTGGGATAATAAGAATAAGAAAACATAATGACACCACGTAGAAAGAGAAGGTTCCTTTGAGGAAGTAGGGGATGGGAATGGGATAGAATTTTCTGGTAAAAAGAAAAATAAAAAAGGAACACAGAGAAAGGAAGGAAAGAAAAGAGAAATCTCTAGAAGAATTAAAAATCAAGGAAAAGATAAGAGCAGGAAAAGAGGCAATTTCTGGTGCCTGCACAAAACCACCATTTGGCTATTTAGCAGATTTATGGGACCTCTATGTGCGCAAGAAGGAAACATACACGCAATTTACTTCGCAGTCTAGATGTTACCGATTTTACATTTTGCTGAATCTGGAGGTGAGGGATGACAGAAACCAGGAAGGAAGCTTGTGATTTTAATAAAAGGAAAATCAAAAGGGCTACTTACTAAGCTGGACATTGGTACTATATAGGGAAGGACTCTTTGAACAGGTCAGGACTTCAGGGCCTCTCACTCCGTGGACACTGGCAAAATATTCAGGGCTGAGTATCTGGTGAGATGGAAAGGGGACCACGTGTGCCCCTGCCTGCCTACTTGTCTAATTCCTTCTCAGGAGAATCCTGAAGTCCCTCCCTCCAAGGAAAGGGGTTGATTTCTGGGGCCGGCTGTAGGGTGGCAGAGCAACTACCAACGAGGGGGTGAGTGTAAAGCTCACGACCAAGGAAGAACCAAAGCAGATCTCACCAAGAGATGGAGGCCTTGTGAGGTCAGGAGATGGAGGGGTGCAGGCTGGAAAGTGGGGGAGTGTTTGGATTTGGCTGGGGTATGGCAGCTGGCTCTGAATGGGAACTGGTGCAAGGTGCATGGAGAAGGCACAGATGTCTCCTAACCCTTTGGTGCTTCTCTCCCCTAAAGAGTGAGAATAACAGAGGGGAAATGAAATAGCAGGGGTGGAAGTACAATTATATGGAAGATTTACATTCAGGAATCTTCATCTACGTCTGGCATACAGCACATATAGTCAGAATTGTCACAAATTTAAACATTAGATGAAGACAAACACAACATTAGATTCAGAAAAAAAAAATCAGCGAACAAAGATGCCAACAATGTCAGGGTTGGGCCCATTTCCTTCAAGTCCTGCAGCCACAGCTGTAGCACAGCAATACCACAAAGTGCCTAACAGGGGAGCTCCTGCATACGTGCTCAGTGCACAGGCTTGGTTCTGAAGGCTTTCCCATCAGTTCTTTGCACCTGTTCTCCTGTTTCCAGCTTCCCAGCCTCTCTCGGTCTTGCTATATCTTCCTCTTTGCTCATCTCTGGGATGTGTCCAAGTTGAAGTTTTGCTTTGCTCAAATCTAGTTATATACACCAGTCACATGCCTTGCACCTTTCCAGGTACATCCCCCTCCTGTATCCTTCCAGCATACAGATCATTTTTCCTGGGTATGGACTCTGTGGAGATGGCTCCTGCATGGGGCTTGCCCCAGTGTAACAAGTAGGAAACAAGGCCTGTGCAATGGGCTAAACAGAAATTACTTTCCTCTTCTGGAATAGCCCAGACTGCAAGCAAAGCCAAATAGACATTATTATAATGCTTGAGTGTGGACTCCACTGTCTAAATCTCTAGAGTGGGAATCCCTGGAATACAGTAACCATGCTTGCTCCTTACTGGTTCCATCCCGTTCTTTAATACCCAGGACAGGAGATTTCGCATCAGTCAGTGCTAAATAAATGTTTGTTGGGTTAAATTGATAGTTGTTTCCAAGAGTGCAGGCTCTGGAGCTAGAGAGCTTTGGGTTTTGATCCTAGTGCTGCCAAATAATTGGGTCAATGACCAAATTTCAGCAAGTCACATGGCCAATGAACCCAAGGTTCCAATCTGGAAATGGGGTGATACGTGCCCTGCAGGCATGCCTAGCTCACAGAGATGCTCAGGAAATTTCAGCTGCTTTTAAATAATGCGAAGCTGCACCAAATTAGAGATTAGACTGGGTCTTTAAGCCTCAAGGAGAAAAAGTAGTACTGGTGGTAGCTCCAGGGAGCAGATCTCTGTTCCACATGAGTGAGTCTTGGCTCTCTAAAGCTGGGATGGGAAGTCTTAAAGACTGGTGTCTTGGTTGAGTGATCCTTTGGGAAGGATGTTGGAAAGGAGAGTCAAACATACAATGGGTGGAAGGACTACATGACTTTCAGAGCCCCTCCCAACCCTAAGAGTCTAACACTCTCAATTTAACTGATTAGCCAAACACACACACACACACACACACACACACACACACACACACACACACAGAGAGATAGATAGAGAGAGAGAGAGACTCATTTTAAGATCAGACCATTGCATTATTTTCATGATAATTTCCTGATTCCAGTTTCTCTCTTCAATCCTTTCACATTGCTGCCAGGATAAATGCACTAACATGGAAATCTGGTCGTCCAATTATAGCACAGATTTTTCAGCCTGGCCATTTATTAATTAGCCTCAACCTACATTCGCATCTGTCATGCTCCCATTCCATGCCTATCTAGCACCAACGTGCTGTGGTCACAGCAAATGACCAGGCATTTTGGGAATACACTGTGTTTGTTCATCTCTCCCTGTCTTGGCCTCTGCTCTTGTTTCCTTTCTCTTTCTACCCTTTCCATCCAGTACAATCCTACCTATTTTTCAAGATACTGATCCAATGTCACCTCTTCAAGAGTTCTCCAAGAGCCCTCCATAACCACAATAGTTTTTTTTTTCCCTCTTCCTCCATAGGACTCTGTGCACAATGCCCAATACCATATATCATACCTTTGTTATAACTTATGTCTTCACCGCCACCGCAACCACATGAATTGTAGGGGCATGAATTGTTCATCTTTGTATCCTCTAGACTTGCACATAGTAGCACTTATCACTGCTCAAGATGACATTTTATGAGTTTCCTGGTTTGTTCTGTCTCCTCTGCTAGACTGTCAGCTTCATAAGAGCAGAAGCTTACCATGTGTTCTGCTATCTCCCCAGAACTTCGAACAGTGCTGGTACTTTGTAGGTTCTCAATCACCTTTCTTTGAGTGAATGAATGATTGTTAAATGAATTAATGAATGTACAATTGAGTTCTGTGAATTTGCTTAGCTTAAATTCTGGTGGTTTTCCCACTTTACTCCAGGGAATGGTTCGCTGGAATGGTTTATAAAGACTAAGGAAAATGATAAAAATAGCAAAGTGTGCCTTATTTTCAGTTGCATTAAGTGTAGGAATTTCACATAATTAAGATTTAATGAGAACCAGGCTTGGATAAAAACTATGTTAAGAGTCGGGCCCAGGACCCTGCTAAGGGCCCAGAATAAATCCCAGTGACCCTCAAAGACTTCAGAGTCTGGGAAAGACAGAAATGAAACAGAAATGTCAGACTGGCGTTAGGACCATATTCCTCTTGCATTCAGATGTTCCCTGGTCCAGATCTGCCAGCACAATGAAACTGGTCCATATAGGAAAGGCTGGCAAAAGTGTCACTGGCCAAAAGGCTTTGGGAACAATCACAAGGCTGTGCTAATTCCAGAACAGGCAAACTCACACACAAATAGGTTTCCAAACTGCTAAATGGTACTGTTCCTAGTGCTTTTGTGTTTGTAGGCAAGGAGAGCAGACTTAGGATACTGCGGGATTCAAACAATGGTTTAGAGCCTATACTAAGACAATGCCCAATTTGTTTTAGTTCAACTCATCTCAAATAATTCAATCTGACAAAAATGTACTGAGCTTCTTGTCACATATGGAATAGAAATCAGGTCCCTTTGCAGGCCTAAGGGGACCTGTAGGATCTGACCCTGCCCACCTTGGACTCATCTCTGATCACACTCCCCACTCACTTACTCTATTCCAGCCTCCTTGCTGGTCCTGGCATGTGCCAAGAATGTTTCTGCCCCAGAGCCTTTGCACTTACTGTTCTCTCTGCCTGGCAATATCTTTCCTCAGATATCCATATGGCTTGCTGCTTCACTTTCTTTAGATCTCTGCTCCAATGCTGTCTCCTTAGAGAAAACTTCTCTGACCACTCTACCTAAAATAGCACTTTTCAGAAGTTGTTCTTGGTTTGAGTACCCAGTTTGATTTCTCTGTATGCTACTTCTCTGTGCCTGATATTTGTATTATTTATGCATTTGTTCCTTTTTTGTCTCCTTTGGTAGAATGTAAGCTCCACAAAGGCAGATATTTTGCCTGTTGTATGGTAAATGCTCTATAAATATATGTTGAATGGATGAAAGAATAAGTAAGTACCTTCTGTGTACCTGGTTCTATACCTGGTGATACTGCAGAGGTCCCAGTACCCAGTGAACTCAAGGTCTAATGTGAAAAGCATGAGAAAAGAAGCTATTATGCCACCTTCCGAAAAGCTTTATGATAAAGGAATGCACAAAGTCTAATGGGAGAAGGAAGTAGGAGCATCTAAATCAGCCACAGTTGAAGGGAGTGAGTGTGCTGGGAAATGCTGCCCTGAGTCTGGACCAGGGAGGCAGAAGCGTTTAGGAAAAGAATCCAGGCAGAAGGAATCAGGTGAAAAAATGTAGGGCAGTTTCAGGGGATTCTGTGTGAATTGGAGTAGCTTAAGGAGTAAGAGGGGGGAGTAAGAGGAACCCGATAAATTAATAAATACATGAACGGGGAGAGCGGTTTATGGAGCAGACTGAGCACTTAACTGGTTCCCGATTTATTAACTCCCTCCTTGGAGCAAGGGTCTGTGTTGAGTTTTATGGAGGACACAAGGATTTAAAACCTGGTCTCTGGTGTTCAATCTAGCAAGGAGGTTTACTGTGACTGTACACCCCTGACTTTCCAGGGCAGTCCCAATTGCATAAAGTCTGTTTGACTTTTTAAATTATAATTATACTCCTCAATTATACTTGTGTATCTGTTAGATCGGACTTTTTACTGGTGGACTGGGGCATTAAGTGGCTATCAAGGAAAGAAAAGCAGATAACTCTCATGCAAGGCAGACCATGAAAAGTGCCTTGTGGGATGTTGCTGTAAAGTGCTCTGGAGTCTGAAGAGGGACAGTACTTCCAGAAAGGATTTTAGAGGCAGTGGATGCTCAGTGTTTTCAACAAGTTGGTCTTTAGTTTCCTTTTACTAGTTTCCTTTCTGAATCACAAAAATATGCTTTCCCCACCTTGCTGCCCCAGGGTCTGGGGTGTGGCTGTGCAAGGAGAGGGCGGGATTCTATGTAAGGGACTAATACAGAGCAACGGGACAAAGGACTGCAAAAAGAGCTTGCTCCAGGTGGGAAGTTTGAATTTACCAGTGAGAAGAGAATGGAAGCCTGGGGACACATCCACCTTCTTCCGCCAGCACACTTGGCCTAAATTCCTGAGCAGGTCTGAACCTGACTGGCTAACTCTTGACCGAATTCCTCACTCTAGTTTGAAAGAACTGAGAAAGCCATCACAGGTGATGCTTCTTATACACACAGAAAACATAAGATAGAGCCACATTTTAAAATCCAGAATTAGACACAAACAAACACAGCCACCAAACAAACAAAAACCTCCTGGAATTGTGGTGTTTTCCTCATCTGTAGACTTGGCCAAGTGCACGTGCAATGAACTTTGTCCACAGAACAAGCTCAAAACTTGCTTTCTGATGAGGCTGCCATGCTACTTTCCATTCTAGAAGCAATCCAGAAAGAGAGGGAGGAGATTACCGGCAATCCCTAGAGCAGCCCTCTGGTTTCAGTTTGGCCACTCACTGCATAACTTGGGGCAAATCTCATGACTTTTTTAGAGTCAGTCTCTGGAGATGTGAAAAGCGATCTTCCCAGTTTCCGGTTTTGCTGTGAGAATAGAGGGAGATCCTGAGTATGGAAGTGCTCACTCCAAGAGATTCTGATCATTACTGTTGCTCTAGAAAGCTTGCAGGCCAGGCAGATGCCATTGTTCCCTACACTTCCCATAAGGCCTTGCTTCCTGGAAAAAAAGCAACAGCTGGGATTGGGGTGGGTGAGGCTCCCTCCCAGGGTTCTCCTTTTGTAGTTTCTTCCTCCTACAGGCCAACAGAGGGCCTGTGAATTAACCCCTCAGTTGCTCTACTACAAGCTGACTACTCTCTTCATAACCATTTCCTCTCCATTGATGTTTTAGTCACACCACTGTGGGTAGTTTTAAAAGAACAGTAATTCGCACACTGGAAACAACTCAAATGGCCACGAACCCTGGAGCCATTAGGCAAATTACGGTACAGTCACATGATGGAATATTCTGCAGTCATTAAGAATGTTTATGAATGTTCTATAGTACTACCAGGAATATGCTTATGGTATGCTATTAAGTGAAATAAAAATAAGACACAAAATTATATATACACAGTGTAACTATGTTCAAAACCTTCCCTATTTATATTAAAAAAAGATAAGACAATAAACTAAATAATGATTTTGGCTACCTCAGGGTAGCAGAATTATAAATAATTTTAATTTTCTTCCTTATATTTTCCTGTAGTTTCCAAAATTTAAAAAACAAGCATATATAACTTTTCAGTAAAAAAAAAAATTGAATTCATAGCACCTTTTATTGTAGGTATAAAAAGATGTAGTCTGTGAGGAGAGCAAAATGGAGGGATGGGGAAAATGTAATTAAATCAATAAAAATCCAGGGAACTGTATACCTGTAGAGGGTTTGTTTGTGAAGTCAGACTTTGAAGAATACACATTCAACTCAGATACCATGTCTACTGGGCAAATGACCAAATTTACTGCCGGGGCTACTTCCCATAACATGTGAAAACCAGCTGCGTGCTGGCAGCTGTCAATATCACTATTTCTGAAAGGATAAAAAAAGAGTGGAAACTTGGTGCAGGGGCAGATGGTTCAAAAGTGGGATGAGCTCAGACAGTGCTTTCTCTCTGCAGGCCCCTCTGCTCCCAGGCATTTGGGCACCAGGCTTCCATTGGTTCCTGCCATGCTGGGCCAGCCTCAGTTTGCACTGGGCAGCTTCAAGGGCTAATATTCGCTAATGTTGTTTTTTCCCCCTGAGTGTTGGCCCCAGACACACAGCACACACGGGGCTGTCAGTTCCAGGCAAATGAGAGCAAGCCAACAACCTGGGGAGGCCAATGTGGCTTCCCTTGGGACCATTCGGGAGAAAGGAGGAGGCCAACTGGTGATCTCTCTCTGGGAGACACTGAGGATGACACTCACTCAGCCATGGGCTTGTCATCTCTCTTTGGGACTCTTGCAGGAAGCATCCAGCTGGTCCCTACATCTCTCTCTGCTCCAGTCCCCTGGGGCTAGGTCCTAACTGATCCTTCTCTTCCCCACCCACTCTGTGCCAGGCCTTGTCTGGCTGTCAGAAAGTGAGAGAAATGATCAAAGCCCAGTCCCTGCTTGTGCAGAGCTCAAAGTTTGGCAGTGGAGACAGACATGGAAGCAAATAATGCCAGAGCAGTCATGGGGCCCCACGGGGGGTGGGCAAGAGGACGCAGGCTCTGGGATCACAGTGCTGGGGCTCAACGTCCAGCCCTGCCACATCCTAACTTAGCTGTGTGACCTTGGGCAAGCCCCAGAACATCTCCTCACTCTTCTCATCTGTTAAATAGGCAAAATAACAGTAGCTGAGAGAATGACTGTGAAGTTTAAGTGGAATTCTCTGGAAAAGCTCTCGTCACAGGGCCTGGCATGAGCTGGCACTCAAGGACTATTAAAATTATTCACTGAAGGGGTTGTGAACAGAGGAGGCCTTCTCCTGCCAGGGGCGCAGGTCAGCAAATCTTTCACGGGAGAGGTGGGGATGCAGCTGAGTCCTGAAGGATGAGCAGAGGCATTTGGATTTTGCTTATGCTTCTCCCCAATCCAAACCTTCAACCCTAACCCTGCTGTCAAAGGATCAAAGGCCCCCATGACACCTGCAGACAAAAATCTTCTCCCCGACACTCTCAACTCAGGATGATATTCTAAATATTTAACTACTGTTAAGGCTCAGGCACCGATCAACTCCTACAGCCTCAGCGCAGACAGGGCATCCTGGAGCACCTGCAGGGCCAGATGCCAAGCTGTTGTTGCTGGATGGCAGGGACATCGTGGCTTTGGGAGCACTTGAGGCAGTGGCTTTTTACTAACCCATAGAGAGAAGCATTTCAGCATTTTAATAACTGGTTAAACAGCTGCACCTCTGCAAACGAGCTGATGGGCAGTCCAGCCCCCAAGCCAGTCTGTCTCAGTTGGTCTATGCGTCCCCCACTATCTCTGGATTTCCTACCTGGAACCTTTGACAGCTGCTCCTCTCACCTAGAACACCTTCCCAATTTCCAATCCTCAAATGGCTGGTTTTATTCATCTTTCAAAGTCCTATTCATCTTTCAAAGTCCGATTCAAATACCACCTTCCCTGATCTGTCCCATTCCCAGCAGTTCCCTTCTGACACTGCACTCTTTCTCCATTCTGGCTGTGCTGAACGGGAGTCATGTGAGGCCTCCCGGAGTCCCCCCTCCCTGGCAAAGGGCTGGACACACAGCAGCAAAAGTATGGTGGCAAAGGAAGCAAGTTCTGGAGCCAGCCTGCTGGGCCTGAATCCCTGTGCTACCACTTCCAGTCCCTGTGATCTTGGGCAAATTAGCTATCCTCAGCCTCACTTTGTCTATCTGTAAAACGGGGATGACAATAATAATACATACCTCATGGAGTTATCATGGGGGATAAATGAGTTAATTCATGTAAAGTACTTAGAATGGTGCCTGGCACACAAATAATTTGATGAATATTATCTCTCACTATTATTGTGCTTATAGCTGGCACTTAATGCATGCTTATGGATTGACTAAATGAACGACTGGCTGATAAAAGCTTAATAATAAATAGAATCAACCATGAAAAAAATTAAAATAAAATGAAAAATGAAAAGCTCAAGTAATATTGAAGTAAAGATTTAAGAAGCAGGTTCTGCGTTTATTTATATACAGTCATGTACTGTATGATAATGACATTTTGGTCAGTAACAGACCTCATATATGATGGTGGTCCCATAAGATTATAATACTGCATTTTTATTGCAGCTTTTCTAGGTTTAGATCTGTTTAGACACACAAATGCCACTATGTTAATTTCCTACAGTATTCGGTAGAGTAACATGCTAGACAGGTTTGTAGCCTGGGAGCCACAGGCTCTACCATGTAGCTTAGGTGTGGAGGCGAGGCTATACTAGCTGGGTTTACGTAAGTACACTCTACAATGTTCCCACAATGACAAAATCACCTAATGATGCATTTCTCAGAATGTATCCTCATTGTTAAGCAACGTATCACTGTATATAGCAATTTGTGTCAGGAGATTAACATGTTTCTCAAAGGCTGTCCAATCGGATGGAGTGATTTGATTATCATTATACCACTTTTTTTTTTGAGACAGAGTCTCACTCTGTCGCACAGACTGAAGTGCAATGGCGCGATCTCAGCTCACTTCAACCTCCACCTCCCAGGTTCAAGCAATTCTCCTGCCTCAGCCTCCCGAGTAGCTTGGATTACAGTCACATGCCACCATGCCCAGCTAATTTTTGTATTTTTAGTAGAGATGGGGGTTTTGCCATCTTGGTCAGACTGGTCTCGAACTCCTGACCTCAGGTGATCCACCCACCTTAGCCTCCCAAATTGCTGAGATTACAGGCGTGAACCACCATGCCCGGCCCACTATTCCACTTTTATTAGCAATATTTGTTGCTCCTAAGCCAGGGACAAAACTAAAAGGAAAAAGGGAAGATGAAGGGCGATGTACATTAAGGCAAGAATGTTTTTGGCCTTAGATTTTCAGACATTTCACCTTCACACAGACTCTTCTGCCCTCTCTCTATACCCTGCATCCTTCTCATCTCATCCCAGCATGGGATGCAGTTGAGAGGGTGAACTCTGCACTCAAGCCTCCTGCCTTTGCATCCCAGTTCTGCCTGGTGATAGCTATATGACCTGGGTAAGCTACATAACCTCTCTGAGCCTGAAGATCCTCATCAGCAAGACAGATAGGGCAATAGTGTGGTGGCTCATGCCTGTAATCCCAGCACTCTGGGAGGCTGAGGTGGGTGGATCACCTGAGGTTGGGAGTTGGAGACCAGCCTGACCAACATGGAAAAACCCTGTCTCTACTAAAAATACAAAAAATTAGCTAGGTGTGGTGGTGCATGCCTGTAATCCCAGCTACTTGGGAGACTGAGGTAGGAGAATTGCTTGAACCTGGGAGGCGGAGGTTGCGGTGAGCCGAGATCGCACCATTGCACTCCAGCCTGGCAACAAGAGCGAAACTCTGCCTCAAAAAAAAAAAAAAAAATTGATGCTGACAGACTCATAAGATTCTTGTGAGAATTCAATGAGCTAAGGCACTTAGAAGACAGCCTGACACATCATAAACACCTGGCAAAATGAGATGGTGATGATGATGATGGCTGCTTTAAGAAACTCAGCTCTAAGAGGATCAAAACACAGTCATGTGGCATATGTTTCAGTAGGTGAGTTGGTCCCTGGTCTCTACAATGAATCCTTCTCTGTTGCTTTGAGAGTGGGATTTTCAGTCTGTTTTTCTGGAAGGGGGATACTACCTGCATTGAGTCTCTAATTCAGGGATGTCCCATAGAAGTTTCTGTGATGATGGGAATGTCCTATGCTGTACAATACAGGAGCCACTGAGCCACATGCAGCTGTCAAGCATCTGAAATGAGGCGCATGGTATAGAGGAGTTTATTTAATTTGAATCAATTTAAACGTAAATAGCCACACACGGTTAGTGGTGACCATGCTGGACAGTGCAGCTCTGGTTCCTTAGTCTTTGTGTCATAGAAGTCAGATTTTTTTTCCGTTTTCCCATGAAATAAAGAGAAGCTGGTATTAGACCAAACTAGATTGATGTGGCAGCCAGTTTAGTTGGATTCCAAAAAGACCTGGACATTGAAATTAACAAGTGCAGCCTATCCATCTGATCAGACTAAACATGCACGTTGTGAGAGAGAGCTGTTTCTTAAACTTGAACCTCGTAGCTTGTCACCTGTGGTCAGAAACAATTTCTACCCCTCGGCTGAGAACTCCTTGGCAACCGAGTAGAAGCTGTTTGACAAGCCCTGGAGGCCAGAGGTGTTTAACAGCCCTGAAGTGGGTGAAGTTTGGGATTTGCCCTGATGCTGTCCCCAGGGAGGACACCTATCTAATCCTGCCTCACCTTTTCCTGGCACAGCTTGTCACTCATTTGCCATTCCTGAGCCATGTTAGAGGAGCTGGCTGCCTTGTTAGGCTAAGGATGATCATTAAATTGGGATGCTCGAAGCTATCACTTGGCAGCTGCTGCTCCAAAGCCTGAGAGTTCTGCAGGCTGGCCACGTCTGACCTTGGGGACCCACTCATTTCAGCAAACTGCAGAGGGATCCAGCCTCACATGAGGGAAGGGGAGTCGAGGCCCTGCAAGGCTCACTCCAGCCCCCAAAGTCTGAGGAATATTTATAAGCACCTATGACAGGCTAAGCTCTACCAGGGAGACAAAAGTCACTACAAAAGCTGATTTCTTGCCTTTAGGTAACTTAAAAATGGAGGTTGTTTTCGGTTAAGGAACAGAGATAAGACACATGCACAAAAAACAACTATACCTTGTTATTCACAGTGTTGTCCCTGAACCAGCAGCAACAGCCTCACCTGGGAGCTTGTTAGAAACAGAGACTCTCAGGCCCCACCCCAGTCCTAATGAATAGGATCTGCATTTTAAGAAGATCCCAGGTGATTCAAGTCATTAATGTTTGAGAGGCTCTGCTAGAATATATATCCAGGCCATAAACACCATGACAGTGAGAATAGTAACGGCTATTATCTATAAAAAGGCTAATGTGTGCTGAGTTTTAAGTGCTTTAAATATATTAACACAAAACTGCTTAATAACAGCCCTCTGAAGTAGATTCTATGATTATCTTCCATTTTACAGATAAGGAGACTGAGGCTCAGAGTGGTTAAGTAACTTATTTAAGGCCACACAGCTAATGAGTATTAGAGCTCTGAATATTCACCTAGGCATTCTGGCTCTAGAATAAAAAAAAAAATCTAGAACTATTCTTCCTAATTGATGTATACATGTATTGAAATAGCACACTGTACCCCATAAGCATATCTAAATATTATTAATTAAAAATAAAAAATGTGCTATGACGATCCTTAGGTTCCAAATAACATGTTCCTACTAAGCAACAATTTAGGATCAAAGACTTAATGTTCTCATCTGCAGGTGAGACATAACCTACTTCACAAGGTTGATGTGGGGGTTAAATTAAACTCTGTATGTAAAGTGTCTCACACAGTACATGACACATAGTAGACGCTCATCAAATGTTCAGTACTCTCCGTTACCATCCCTTATGCTTCTACTGAGGTCTCAGACACAGTTCTGGTCTCTTACCTCCCTGCTCAGCATCCCTTTCTGAGTCTTCTGAATTCCTCTTCTCTCTCTCTCTCTCAAGACAGTCTTGCTCTGTCACTCAGGCTGGACTGCAGTGGCACAATCTTGGCTCACTGCTACCTCCACCTCCCGGGTTCAAGTGATTCTTGTGCCTCAGCCTCCCAAGTAGCTGGGACTACAGGCATGTGCCACGATGCCTACCTAATTTTTTGTATTTTTAGTAGAGATGGGGTTTTGCCATGTTGGCCAGGATGGTCTTGAATTCCTGCCCTCAAGTGATCTGCCTGCCTTGGCCTCCCAAAATGCTGGGATTACAGGTTTGAGCCACCACGCCCAGTCTCTTCTGAATTCTTCACTGCCTACAGGAGAACGTCCTGCCACCTTATCAAGTCTCTCAACCTTCCTTCCAGCTTGGTCTGGGGCTGCATCCAAAGCCTCTTCTGGACAAGGTCTCACTCTCTGTGCACTCACCTTCCTCCCCCGGTGGTGCATATTCTGTCCCCTTAGCATGTAGCTCCCTTCCCTATAGTCACCCAGCACTCATTTGACATTTGTGATACTTATAGAGTTGCCCCAATGTGCATGACCTTGGGCAACTTACATGACCGTGTTGCATCTCAGTTTCCTCATCTGTAAAATGGGAAGAGGTAAGGCTATCTGCTCCTGCCTCAAGGAGTATTGGGAGGACTGAATGAGTTAATACACATAAAGTATTTAGAGCAGGGCCTGCCACATTTGTAAGTGTTCATCAAAATCTCTTGCAATATCAAAGAAGAGATCAATCTGGATTAAGGGAGTAGAGAATAATCCCCACCATTCATGGATCACCCACCATGGTGTCAATGATCATGCATGACACTTATGTTAGTTAGTTCATTTGTCACTGAAACAACCCCATGAAGTATAAATTATTATTTCTTGTTCACAGCTGAAGAAACTGAAGCCTTGAGGTCACACAGCACTTGAATGCAAGAACCAGTACCAAAATGAGGACTGCCTGAGTTGATTCGGCAACATGGCTCTCTGGGCTGGAAGCAGGAACACCTAGGTTTCAGGCCCAGCTCTGTTCAGTTCTGCAAGTATTTATTGAGCACTTACTATATGCTATGCACTGATCATTTAGTACAATCTGAAGTGGTAGGGAAGGGTTTCTGGGGGTGATGCCTAAATTGGATCTTGAAGTATGAACTTAAGGAGGTAGCTAGAGGATGGCACAGAGGGAAGGAAGCATTTCAAGAGGGCAAAACATAAGTAAAGGCACGGAGGCACTGCCTTGCAAAGCCTCTAGAAATGTGCTCGTGACTCCATCCAAGTCCCTCATCACTCTGGGCTTCGATTTCATTAACTTTGGCATGAAAGAAGTGAACTTTCTCTGTTCTAAGATCTCTTTTGACTAAATTTCATGTCCAATGACAGAACAAACAAGTCATGCTTTTGAAGGCTATCCAATGGCACAAATCAACAAAAGTAGGTGTAGTATCTGGATCCTATATTGTGAAACAACCAAAAGCTGTTGTATGTACGCAGAAAACTAGACTAGAAGGAAATGCCTTATATAGTCATAGTGCTTATCGCTGGATACGGAGACTAGGAGTCATTCAAAGTTCCTTCTTTAGATTTTTTGGACTTGTCACATTTTATTTAATAAGTGTATTCATTTTATACCCTGCAAATACTAATGAAGATTATGAAAAAAATTATAGGGACTGGGGATGAGGCTTTCAAACTTTATTTCTTTAAAACCACTGCCTATGGAAGCAAAACAGACTAATGGCTAGGAGCCCAGACCAGGGCTTGACTCCAAAGGTTCAAGTATTCCTTCTCCAACTTCAGGTATGGCCTTGGGCAAGAAATCAACTTCAGTTAGGTTAATATAACTGGGGCAAAAACTACTCTGATTTTAAAAATTTAATTCTCACTGATTTTTCTGAAAAGGAAGATTATGGCTGGGCACGGTGGCTCACGCCTGTAATCCCAGCACTTTGGGAGAACGAGGAAGGCGGATCACCCGAGGTCAGGAGTTTGAGACCAGCCTGACCAACATGGTGAAACCCCATCTCTACTAAAAATACAAAATTAGCCGGGCATGGTGGTGCATGCCTGTAATCCCAGCTACTCGGGAGGCTGAGGCACGAGAATCACTTGAACCCGGGAGGTGGAGGTTGCAGTGAGCAGAGATTGTGCCATTGCACTCCAGCCTGGGCAATAAGAGTGAAACTCTGTCTCAAAAAAAAAAAAAAGAAGATTATAACCCACATTAGAGGTCAGCAAACTTCTTCTGGGAAGGGCCAAATACTATTTTCAGCTTTCTGGACCCTAAAGTCTCTGTCATAACTAACCAACTCTGTCACAGTGCAAAAGCAGCCATAAATAATATGTAAACAAATGAGTGTGGTTGTATTCCAATAAAACTTTATTTGTAAAAACAGACAGTGGGCCAGATTTATCAGCAGGGTGTTGTTAGCTAACCTTTAGCACATTGATGTAATGGCCCACTCATGGGCTGTAACCTGCAGTCTGAAACATAGTGGAGCTACAGCAGTTTTTACCATGGCCAGAGGAAATAAATTGCCACAATGCTCAAGTTACAAATGGATCATGTTTCAAAACTTTGCTTTTTGGGTCAATAATTTAGAATTCAACATGTATTTTTTTTTCTCCTTAGGAATCATTTATATGGTGGTTGAGATTCCAGGTCTACAGAAAACAGATCTAATATCTCATCTTCTCGCTCTAGCATGTCCCCATTCATCCAGCAACTCTGAGTTTCTCCAGAGCCATTAGCCCTGGGCTGGGCATTGTAGGGGACTGCAAAATGAGCCAGATGTGATTGCTCCCTCAGGAAGATAAGGAAGTAGCATTCTTCCTCTGAGAATAGACCTTCTGAATCCCTGCTTAGGATACCAGGAATGGCTCTCCTCTCTCCTTCTTGCTATTGAGGCTTCCAGGGTGTTAGACCAAGGAGTCCTTACATTGGGGTGGTATTTTTGTTCTCAACTGTGATGTGTAAGCCAGTCAGTTGTGACTTGTGTGACTAATAATGGTCATAAGTGCTGGCCTGTGCAAATGATTCACTTGTGGGTTATTTATTTTTTTAAAAGTAAATTAGCAGAGGCTGGGTGCGGTGGCTCACACCTGTAATCCCAGCACTTTGGGAGGCCGAGACAGGCGGATCACTTGAGGTCAGGAGTTTGAGACCAGTCTAGCCAAAATGGTGAAACCCTGTCTCTACTAAAAATACAAAAAAATTAGTTGGGCATGATAGCATGCACCTGTAGTCCCAGCTATTTGGGAAGCCGAGGCGGGAGAATCGCTTGAACCTGGAAGGCGGAGGTTGCAGTGAGCCGAAATCACGCCACTGCACTCCAACCTGGGTGACAGATTGAGACTCTGTCTCAAAAAAAAAAAAAAAGAAAGAAAGAAAGAAAGAAAATTAGAAGAATATAGTGGATTTTGTCAGTTTTTTGTTGTTGTTGTTGTTTTTCATTTTTTTTTTTTTTTAGCTTCCCAGAACCACCGATGATGTTACTGTGTTCAGAGAATTTTCCATATTACGAGTCCATAATTCTACCAGGTAGAAATTCACCTTCCCAGACTCCCTTGTTAGGGTCCAGGCAGGTCCTGTGACATGTGGGGTACATGGAGCTGATATGGGTGGTGAGAGAGACACTCAGCCTTTAGGGGAAACAATGACAGGTCCTGTTGGAGTGTTCAATGGCCAGCATCAGTGGTGTGAGGTCCAGTGTCTGTGCCTAGTACTAGTGGCTGTGAGATCTCTGCTAGAGCAGTCTTGGGGTGCAATCCCAGGTTATGTAGCCTGGTTATATAGCCTCAAAGCCTGGCCCTCTGGCTTCAATGCCCACCAGAAGTCTTATTAGGATCTACTAAACACTTAGATTCATGGGACTATCATAGGCTACCTGGGCCCAGCAGGACAGTATCAGATATTCTTTCAGTGGGAGCCCTTGTAGCAGTTCGCCCAGTCATCAGGAACTTATCTCCTGTCCAGGTGACATGCAGGTGCAAGGAGCTGAGATCTACATGGGTGATTGTGCAAGGTGCCCTGCCCTGTTTTACAAGCCCCAATATCTCTTGTAACAACTCCATAGCAATAGCTTCCAAGGCCTCTTCAAAAGACACAGCTAGTTACGAGAGTCAATAAATTAAGGGAAGTCCAAAGCTCTGGGTCTTTATCAATATTTCTGGTACCTCCAGGCCAGATGTAATTTGTCAATCTGGGATCATTCTGGCCATAAGCAATGTTTCCCAGAAACATAAGGGTTGACACTGCAATTTTTATAAGGTTTCCTCCAGGGGAACAGAGCTAGAGAGTTAATTCAAGGTCAAATTTTCATGCAGAAGGGGAAAAGATTTGTTAATCTTCTACCCATACTGGGCCTCCCAGAGGTTTTCTTCCTGCTTTAAGCAGTCATGAGAGGTTCAGCTTTTGCAACTAAGTATCCTGACTGGTAGTGCTGCTTGTATCAAGGATACCTCTACTCACTTGCATTCTGATTTACATTCCTTAGAGGAAAAGAACAGAGTAGAGCTATAACTAACATGCTGGACTTATTGCATAACTGCAGGTATGTCCATAGGAGTAAGTTGAAGTTTGAATCTCACTTGTCACATACATCACAGAGATAAAAAATGTTAAGATGTAATGTGTTGGGGTGAGCTTTTGGTAGAGTGAGTATCATGGAACATGTATTTGGTTGTCATTCACTGCTAATGTCTGTTATGTCTGTTTTATTAACTCTGTTTCTTCAAGTGTAAATTCTTCCATTTGTTAAGATTATTTTGTTTCACATTATTAGTTTTCCTCAAACAGTTGGTGATTGGTGATTGTATACTCATGTTTATAGTTGAGATTCCCCTGGCAGACATTTCCCTGATATAAATGTCTGTACATTCCGTTTGCAAAAGTAACAAGAGCTACCACTACCTAGGAATAAATTCTGGTTTGTTTTCAGTGAGACTGGAAGAGGGCAGAACTACTTAATTGTCTAGTTTTCCAAGTGAAGCTGCTCACAGTTACCCTAGGCATTACCAGCTAGCTACCTGAGGCAACAAAATACTCCCATTTATCCTACTATTTTTTTCATCTTGTGGTAATAAATTACTAAAATCATCCATGGCCAAAGACATGTAGGAATCACGGATATTTCCGGTAATGATACAGGTGAGAGAAACCTTATTCTAGATTTAGGATGATTCTTTTTGAAAACAGTACCCTCACATGGCCCCTCCCATCAAAATTAAGGTGTTTTCATTTATCATTACTATTTGGAAAATAAATATCACCTAATCGTAAATATTATAAAATTTGTCTGAGTTTTGTAAAATAAAAATATCTGAGGTAACTGAATGATTTTAGAAGCTCAAGAAATAGTAGCCAAAGTTCTGGAAAAACTTAGACTACAGAAATCTCACACTGGCACTAAGCTTCTTCAAAATTCCACAATGAAAAACGAAACTATCCAAAACAAATGCAGCAACTCCAAAGCTGTGCCCACATGAAATGGTAAAATGGTGCATGCAGGCCTACTTCCAAATACCTCAGCCAAGAAAGGCTGTTCTGACAAGAAAGGATGGTTTGAGGCATAAAATAATCCATATTTCACCAATATTTCCCAGGCCGTCTGTTGGGCACAGATGAAAACAAATAATATTCAGCCCCTGTTCTTGAAGAGCTTATAGTCTAGAGGAAAACCATATAAGCATCATGGCCCTACCTGACTTTGTCAGAATAATGATAGTCAAGGAGATGATCCTGTTTGATAGAATTGCAGGATAAAAAGAACACAGGAGAGAGGAGAGAAAGAAATAACTCCAAATTAGAGTCCTAACTTCTATTGGAAATTCTCTTTTGGAGGCTTTGGTACAGAGCTGGTGTGAATAAACACTTGACTGAAAACAGAGGCCCCCTTGCCTCTGAAGTTCTTCCACATGTGTTTTCCAGTGCTAAACACTAAAACCTGTTCCATCAGGGAGCCGGAAGAAATAACGATCCCTCTAGAAAGAATCACAGGCAGGTTTCTTTAAGGACAATGAAAACAGCATTTTAGAGCCCAAAAAGTATAATATGAGTGACTGCTTTAGGGAGGAAGGGGGCTCCCCTTGTGCCAGGCATGGCACTGGATGTCTTAGCTACAATGTCTAATTCATTGCTCACATCAGTCTCATGAGGATGGTTGTGTTCTCACCTTACGAAGGACAAATGGAAGTTCAAAGAGGTGAAATAACAGAGCTACAAGAAGCCGAGCTGGGATTCAAATTTAAAGGACTATATGACTTCCAATCCACATGCTTCCCAGAGGATCACACTGAACAGAATCTGGAAAACTCTAAGTTCCACTTTGTGTTTTGTGCTGACTCTTGAAAATTCAACCAAAGAGGCATGGAAAGAATGAGATAAATGGCTCTGACAAATTCTGGGACATGTTCTCTTTGCTCTCCTTCCCTGCTCGTGCCTCTTTAAAACTTGTCCCAGAAGGTTTGGAAGCATTAGAAGGTCCTTTTTGACTTCCAGCCACTCCAACTACACTCTGAGTCCAGAAGGAGATTCAAGAGGGAAAATGGACACTGTGTAATAGAAAGTATAATGGGAGCTGGGCAACTGTGCTGAGCAGGAGCAGGGAGGATGTCACATGGCGAGACTTCCATTTTAGAAGTTTCAGCCTGGTAGCTGTGAGGAAGATGGAGCTCATCAGAGGGTTGTGGTTGTTGTTGTTCTTCTTCTTCCTCTTCCTCTTCTTCCTCCCCCTCCCCCTCCCCCTTCTCCTTCTTCTCCTTCTTCTTCAAGACAGGGTCTTACTTTGTGACCCAGGTTGGAGTGCAGTGGTGCAATCTCAGCTCACTGCAGCCTCGACCTCCCAGGCTCAAGCAATCCTCCTGCTTCAGCCCCCTAAGTAGCTGGGACTACAGGCAAGCACCACCACACCCAGCTAATTTTTGTACTTTTCATAGAGATGGGGTCTTGCCATGTTGCCCAGGCTGGTCTGGAACTCCTGAGCTCAAGTCATCCACCCGCCTTGGCCTACCAAAGTGCTGGGATTACAAGTGTGAGCCACTGTGCCCAGCCTTGGTCAGAGGATTTTTAAATTTTTAAATTTAATTTAAATTTATTTTGAGATGGAATCTCACTCTGTCACCTAGGCTGGAGTGCAGTAGCCTGATCTTGGCTCACTGCTACCTCCGCCTCCTGGGTTCAAGCGATTCTCCTGCCTCAGCATCCTGAGTAGCTAAGACTACAGGTGTGTGCCACCACACCTGGCTGATTTTTTGTATTTTTAGTAGAGATGGGGTTTCACCATGTTGGCCAGGCTGGTCTCAAACTCCTGACCTCAGGTGATCCACCTGCCTCAGCCTCCCAAGGTCAGAAGACTATTAAAGCTCACATGCAAGGATACCGTGTAGACATCAAAAGTAGAAACTGAAGTAGAAAAGATGGGGTCCTGAGCCATGCAGTGGCAGTGGTCTAGCAGGGAAGGAATAAAGAAATCTCACGATGCAGCCTCAGTAAGACCTGCTGACCAGCTGGAGATGGTGAGGGAGAGGAAGGAGTGCTAGTCAAGTCTCAGTTTTCTGACTGGGGTGACCAGGCCAATGGTGGTAACATTCTTAGAGCCTGGGGAGAAAGGAGGAACAGTGGGTTTTGGGGGAGAGATGATGGCTTTAGTTTTGAGGTAGTTTGAGCTCTCCAGATGGAAATGTCCCATAGGAACTTAGATCAATAGGTTTGCTCATTCTTTCATTCTACAAATATTTGTGGACCTCCTACTCTGCTCCAGATGTTGAGTTTGGCATCAACTGAGGAGTGATGGCCAAAACAGATGTGTTCTCTGCCTTCATGAAGCTTTACAGGCAATAAATAAACACAGAAATACACACATAGTTACAAATTACGTTAAGTATGAGGCAGAAAAGAATAAGATGCTAGGAGAAGAAGAATCAGCCTGCAAGTATGAGACTTGACAGTGGAAACTGAAAGTCGGCTGAGTGAGATGAAAAGGTTCTGGAGCTCAGAGGAGGCCGTGTCTAGCTGCAGCGGGGAGACGGACTCATCTGCATGGAGGTGGGAGCAGGAGATGACATGAGGGAGCTGAGCCAGAGAAACTGCACGGCTGGACAGGCTGTTGGGGCTAGGAGTGAAGAGCTAGACACTCCATAGGCTGAGGCCAGTAGTTTCCATTCTCTCAACTCTTAGCATTTGTACCCAGAGACAGCAAAGTTTTGGTGTGTCTGAAAGATTATTTTTTGGCCATGGGCATTTTACCACCTCTCCATTTGGGGCATGTTTGCACGTGAAAATATGCACAACGTACTGACTGATTTGTTGTGGATGGTGGGAGACCTGAGTAATTTAATGAGTTAATTTCCTGAATAAGTTAATTCCAGACTGGATTGAAATATTGATGTTGAGTTGGGATTCTTAAATAAAAAGAAGAAGTAGCCTGGCATGATTGCTCACCCTGTAATCCCAGCACTTTGAGGGATGAGGCAGGAGGATTGCTTGAGCCCAGGGTTTGGGACCAGCCTGGGGAACATGGTGAAACCCTGTCTCTACAAAAAAAATGCAAAAATTAGCTGGGTGTGGTGGGGCATGACTGTAGTCCCAGCTACTTGAGGGGGGCTGAGGAATGAGAATCGCTTGAGCCGGGAGGCAGAGGTTGCAGTGAGCAGAGATCATGCCACTGCACTCTACCTAGCCTGGGTGACAGAGTGAGATCCTGTCTCAAAAAAAAAGAAAAAGAAAAAGAAAAAAAGAAACAGCAACCTCCGTATAGCCTATGTTCCATCTTTTTCCCTTAACTGAAAGCCAAGAGACATGGTTTTGTAAGACAGCCCAATTCAGCCCCAATCCATCTGGCAGAAGCAGAGCATCCAATGAGCTTTCCAAAACCACTTGGCACCAAGTAACAGAAAGGAAAACTGTAGGAGCCCAAGTTGGGAGTTGTTCAGCTATATGCAGATCATATCTACAACAACAATAATAAAAGTTAACATTTATTGAGCACCTACTATGTGCTGGGCACTGTTCAATTTATTAAATTTTCAAACATCCCTATGTAGAATTTACTCTTTGTATCCCTATTTTGCAGATGCCTTTCCCAAGGATCCCCAGCTTTTAATTAGAAAAGCCTGGATTTGAACCTAGGCAGTCAGGATCACAGAGCCTGCTCTCTTAACCTCTCTTTTTGATAAATGGGTCACACCTACAGTACTCAGAGTGAATGAGTCTGTATGGAGGAGGGACCTGATTCGTGAGACACTGTGGGGAGAGGATCTATTAATCCGTCGCTAAAGGAAGTGGGGAGGCAGACAGGAGGCCTCCAGGCAGCCTCCGGGTCCTCTCCCAGTTCCTTCCTTCCCCATGAGGATTTGGCTTCAAAGAACAGTCACACTGCCTCTCCCTGGGCAATCAAGCCCCTTGCCCACCTGAGAGGCCCACTTCTGGCTGAGTAGGTGCTTCTGGTTATCCCGGGCCCTGGGGCAGCCAGGATGAAAGAAGATGAAGATAACTCCCACGAGAGGTGGTGGCATCCTCCAAGACTGCCTTCATGAGGACACCACCCATCACTGCAGAGGCCCTTACCCTCTGGAATTTGCAGACCCACTTATCTGACATAGGCCAGTTTTATCCTAAACAGAACCAGCCCTATAAAAACCCATTTCAAGGACCCCCACACGGGTCTAAGATATCCCCTCAGGGTGCAAGGTTCCCACCGGGACCACTCTGGCAAGTTTTAGGAAGTGAGTCCTTTCTACCCCCATCATCCTCCCCATCCTGGACACTTGCCCCACCCTGGAGGCAGTACCCACCCACCACAAGGCAAGGCAAGGCAGTTCTTACCTTTCCACCTGGAGGTTGACTTTGGAAGGCTCCACGTTGGGGTTTTCCCATTCCATTTGTGGGCAGTGCATGAAATAGCAAAGGGTGTACAGGGCCTCGGGCTCCCAGTACAGTGCCCCCTGCTTGTGGTGCAGGGGGGTGCCATTGCCGTGGTGCTTGGCATTGAGGGGCTGCAGGTGATGCATTGCACGGGACACCAGGTCACCTGTGGACAGAAGGAAGATTTCAGATCCTCCAGGAAGCCAACATTGGCAGAGAAACTGTACCTGAAGATCTCTGTGGAGACCCTGGTCCTTGCAGTCCCTTATTTAAATAAAGTGGTTCAATGGGACCTTGAAGTCACTCACCAAGCAGAGAGGAATGGATTCATTCATTCAGCATAGGAGGGCTTACTGAATCTGGGGTGCGTTTCAAGCACAGAGGGCGGCTAAGATCATTTTAATCCTGCCCTTCTGGAACCCAATGTTTCTAACAAGGCTCAGGAAGCCCTTTGCGTCCCGTTCCTGCATACTGCCTCCCTCGCCCTGTGACACACCCTCTATGTTGTGGCCAACACTGCTTTAACTGTAGTCACAAGAATGGGCTATGCTCTCTATTGCCCCTGAGCCTTGTACATATGCTATTCCCTCTGTCCAGAACATTCTCTCCCTCTTCTTCTCCAGGCTAACTCCTACTGATCATCCAGGTATCTGCTTATAAATTAATTCCTCTAGGAAACCCCCTCTAGAACCACCCTGCCCTTACTTGGGTTATCACACTGTACTTTTCGTGTTTTTTTTCCTTTTTTTTTTTTTTTTTTTTGAGATGGAGTCTTGCTCTGTTGCCCAGGCTGGAGTGCAGTGGCATGATCTCCACTCACTGCAACTTCTGCCTTCCGGGTTCAATCGATTCTCCTGCCTCCTCAGCCTCTTGAGTAGCTGGGACTACAGGTGCCTGCCACCACAACCGGTTAATTTTCGTAATTTTAGTAGAGATGAGTTTTCACCATGTTGGCCAGGCTGCTCTTGGACTCCTAACCTCAGGTGATCTGCCTGCCTCTGCCTCCCAAAGTGCTGGGATTACAGGCATAAGCCACCACGCTCTGCCCTATAAAAGTAAATTTGATGACAACAAAACAGTGTACAGTTCACCCTTGAACAATGCAGGCTGGAACTACTTGGATCCACTTATACATGGATTTTCTTCCACCTCTGCCACCCATCATACAACAAGACCAACTCCTCCTTTTCCTTCTCCTCCTGGGCCTACTCAACATGAAGATGACAAGGATGATGACCTTTATGATGATCTGCTTCCACTTAATGAATAGTAAGTACATTTTCTCTTCCTTATGGTTTCCTTAATAATTTTTTCTTTTCTCAAGCTTACTTATGGTAAGAATATCATATATAAGAATATAACATAAAATACACGTTAATGGACTGTTTATGTTACCAGTAAGGCTTCTGGTCAACAGTGGGATATTAGTAGTAAGCTTTTGGGGAGTCAAAAGTTACACAGAGATTTTTGACTGCATAGGGGTTCAGTGCCCCTAAGTCCCAGATTGTTCAAGGATCAAATGTAATTAATTTCTAGCTGAATTCTGGCCCCGTTTTCCTTTTTATACGTAACAGGTGTTACAGAAGTGTTAGGGGCTGATATCAAATGGAGCCTTTCTTTTTAAAGTAATTAAGATTCAAATGAATGTAAAAGAATCACTCTATAATCAATATTATTTAATGCACTTGCCCTGTCCTACTTACGATCATCTCATGCACACCAGAATATGTTGCGTACTTTGGGAGACAGCCGCCTAAGATATCTGTGATGGTTAATTTTTTTTTTTTTTGAGACAGAGTTTCGCTCTGTTGCCTAGACTGGAGTGCAGTGGTGCGATCTCGGCTCACTGCAACCCCTGCCTCCCGGGTTCAAGCAATTCTCCTGCCTCAGCCTCCTGAGTAGCTGGGATTACAGGCATGCACCACCACTCCCAGCTAATTTTTTTGTATTTTTAGTAGAGATGGGGTTTCACCATGTTGGCCAGGCTGGCCTCGAACTCCAGACCGCAGGTGATCCGCCCGCCTTGGCCTCCCAAAGTACTGGGATTACAGGTGTGACCCACCGCGCCTGGCCAGTGATGGTTAATTTTATGTGTCAACTTGGCCAGGCTATGGTGCCCAGTTGTTTGATCAAACACTAGTCTAGATGTTGCTATAAAGAAGGTTTTTTTTTTTTCTTTCCAACTTTTATTTTAGGTTCGGGGGTACACATACAGGTTTGTAACATGAGTAAATTGCATGTCGCAGGAGTGTGGTGTACAGATTATTTTGTCACCAGGTAAACAGCATAGTACCCAACAGGTAGTTTTTCAGTCTTCATGCCCCCTCATCCCCTACCCTCAGGTAGGCCCTAGTGTCTATTGTTCCCTTATGAAGGTATTTTTTAGATGTGATTAACATTTAAATCAATAGACTTTGAGAAAAGCAGATTACCTCCCACAGTGTGGGTGAGCCTCATCAATTAATTGAAGGCTTTAAGAGAAAAGACTGAAGTTCTCCGAAGAGGAAAGCATTCCGTCTCCAGACTGCAACAACTTTTACTAGAATCTCCAGCCTGCTGGCCTGCACTGCAAAATTTTGGACTTGCCAGCTCCCACAATCACATGAGCCAATTCCTTAAAATAAATGACTTTCTCAGTCTATCTCGCTACAGAGAAAGAGAGAGAGAGAGAAATCCTGTTGGTTCTGTTTTTCTGGAGAATGCTGACTAATACGATATCTGACATGATGCTAGCCCCTGTTGGGGCTCCCCCATTCCCTCTCATTGTCCAGCTGAAACCAGTCCTTTAGATCTCACCCCTTCTCCACCATCCTGCTGTACCTTTCAACGTGACACATTTACCTAACATCCAAATTCGAGTAAGTGAGGCAAAGTGAGAGGCAGGAGTTTCTCCTCCGAAGGCTTAGGACTCATCTCCTGGCTTCCTGTTTCCTGTCTGAGGGAGGGGCCACTACTTCAAAAGATGACTGACAAGAGGACTGTTCACCAGCTTTAGGGGGGTTGATTATGGGAATGAGGTTCACAGAGCTCTTGATTGATTGATTGATTATAGATGCAGCCCTAAAGTCCTTCTCAAGACAAGATTCCAAGCAGCTACTATTTCTTTTTCTTTTTTAAGAGACACTCTCTCACCCAGGCTGGAGTGCAGCAGGGTGATCATAGCTCACTGCAGCCTGGGCTCAAGCGATCCTCCCACTTAAGCCTCCCAAGTAGCTGGAACTACAGTCACAAGCCACCATGCCCGGCTATTTATTAATTTTTATTTTTTTAATTTTTTGTAGTGGAGATGGAGTCTTGCTTTCATACCCAGCCTGGTCTCGAACTTCTGGCCTCAAGTGATCCTCCTGCCTCAGCCTCCCAAAGTACTGGGATTATATGAGTGAGCCACAGCACCCAGCCACAAGCAGCCCCTATTTCTAATAGGAGTTGTCGAAATAAAGGAAAGCTCTATGTTATCTAAGTCCTAAGGCTTCGTCAGGACAGCCTAACTAGACTACGATCCACTGAGCTCAGTGCCTGGCCAACAGATCAGGGCCTTGTGCAGATGGCAGCAAGGGGTATGATGGTTAATTTTAGGAGTCGACTTGACTGGATTAAAGGACACCTAGATAGCCGGTAATGCATTATTTCTGGGTGTGTCTGTGAGAGTATTTTCAGAAGAGACTGGCATTTGAATCAGTGGGCTGAGTGAGGAAGACCTGTCCTCACCCAGTGTGGGCAGGCACCATCCAAGTGGCCGAGGCCTGGATAGAACAAAAAGGCACAGGAAAGGTAAATTTTCTCTTTCTCTCTCTTCTGGAGCTGGAACACTCTTCTTCTCTTGCCCTTCCACCTCCTGCCATATGAGGATATGGCAACAAGCCACCATCTTGGAGGCAGAGAGAACCAGACCACCTGACCTTGACCTGGCTGGCATCTTGATCTTGAACTTCCCAGCCTCCAGAACTATAAGAAAATACATTTCTGTTCTTTATAAATCCTCCAGTCTCAGGAGTTTTGTTAGAGCAGCACAAATAGACTAACGCAGGGGGTTATATCCCTACATCTCTCTGCATCTTCACATACCCAGCCCTGAGCCTGCCTCTCCACTCTCCATTTCCCACAGCTGGAAAATTCATCCAAGAAATTTTTAAAAGCATCAAGGAAGGACATTCTCTTTTAGAGGCAGATCACAGGGAAGACATAAGGGCAGCTGCAGATGGAAAACGTGGGGAACTACTGCTGAAAGTTAAGCAGGGATCAGAGGAAAGAGTTCAAATCTCAGCTCCAGCCTGTGTAAACACAGGCGAGTCACTTAACCTCTCAGGTGAGGAATAATCTTCACCTCTCAGGTGGTTATGAGGGTTAAGTGCAAAATGTGTAAATGCCTGGCATACTTGGCATTGAATAAGCAGTTCTCCTGGGCTCATGGGCTGCCTGCTCTTCCTCCTTTCTGAGTGGTGAGACCAGGATGCTGGGTACATGGGACAGAGAGGGGTAGTCCTGCCAGCATTCTGAACGCTGAGCACCTGATTTGCTGCTTCATGCTGGGGTTGACTTTTTTAGGACTCTACACTGCAAAGCTGCTCATTCCTGGGGTCCCTTTGGGGTGCACTGAGATCCTTAGCTGCTACTGCTTCCTTTTTCTCTCCATTCTCATGTTTTAGAGATTGCACTCCCTGGGAGGAAGAAAAAAAAAGGAAGCTAAGCTGGGTGCCTGCCTCCGGGCATTCACATCACTTTAGCCTAGTAAGGGGAAGCTCCAACCACTGGTCAGAATAAGAGCTCCCAATCAGTGAAAGTTGGGAAGGGACCTAGAAGAAAACTCAAAGATAGAGGCCTGGGGTGGGATCGGGCACTGAGACAATGTTTTTAATTTTCCAGTGAGGACAGTGACCTGGAGTAGAGGAAGAAGAGACAGCAGAGGTAGAAGCCCCAATATGCTGAGCACCTACCATGTCTCCGGGCATTTAGACACGTTTTCTATTTGATTTATATAAGAGCCACACAAGGTGAGCATTATTATATCAATTTCAGAGATGGGAAAATTGAGGGAGGAGGCAACTGGCCCAGGTGTCACTCAGCAAGTGGCAGGCTGTGACTCCAACCTGGAGTTGGACACACAATGTGGGCTTGTGTTCTTTGTCACTATGACACAGTGCCTCCAAAAAGGCACAAATCTAGAACCCAGTTTTGAGTGTGGCCCTTAAAAAGTCTGACGAAGAGTCTGAGGCTCAAATCCCAAACATCTCCCAAAGTCTGTGCCGTCACAGACTCCAGAGTGGGGCCCACTTTGTGGGGTGGGGGCTCAGGAATTTGGTTGGCCTCTGCTGATGGAGCAGAGCTTCCAGCCTGGGGTTCTCAGAGTCTACCCCATTGGTGTCTGTCTGGAGGACAGCGGGGTGGCTGATGGTCAACCTGCATAAATGACCAAGGAGGCTGTAAGAAATAAATCACCAAGCAGGAAGAGCCTGGAGGGGTAGAAGAAGCAACTCAACAACAACGGAGGCCTGGAAGGAAGCTGGTGCTGAAATCAACAGAATCCTGGTCTCTCTGATCAGACTTCCTGCCTGGCCCCTGGCAGAGCTCAAAGAGCTGCTCCCTGAAAGCTATGAAAAGTTGGAGGAGCCCAGACAGCTGAGCTCTGGGATCACCAGAGGAGGCTAAGGTGGATGACAGCAAACCAACAGCTAGTGCTTCCTGTGTGCAGGATAATTCTTAGCACTTTAGACCTGTTACACCCATTTAAGTGCCACATGACCCAATGGGGCTGGTCCTGCTAGCATATGCATCTCACAAATGAGGAAAGTGAGGCACAGAGAACTAATAAGACTGAAATTACACTGCCACTGAGTCCAATAACTGGCCTGGAAGCTGCTGCCATCTGGCTCTCCCCCACACCACGCTGCCCTGTGAAGGCAGGGGTCTTCATGCCCTGGGGGCAGCACAGCCTCCGGAGATCCCAAGCTGCTTCTGCATCCCTAGGGTTTTGGCAGAACAGGTCAGCACCCCTTCCACTGGCATCTGTTGGTAGTGGCATTCTCGGTGGGCATAGAGTGGGGAAGAGCTGCATAGACCATGGAGGCAGGGTTGATGGCAGTAGCTTTGGAAAGGCCTGGAGACTTCCCAGTCGTGCCCTTGGCTGGGAGGTCAGAGTCTTCCAAGGCAGCCCCAGCCATAGGCTCATGCAGGCTCACAGGAGGCCAAGGCCGCAGGCTGTGGGCAGCCCTAAGCTGGGCCACAGCCTGGCAGGAAGTGGTGGCTACACATCAGATGCCACCTGGGGACTCTGAAAAACTGCGGGACGAACTTGCAGAGGCTGGAATTCCTGTGAATCTGCATTTGGAGGGCAGAGTCTGAGAAGCTCTGAGGTTGGCCAGATCTGAGGTAGACTTGGCCTCCACTGTCCCCAAAGAGAAGTAGTTTGAAGGGTGTGGGCTGCCCAGTAACTGAGCCATGTTGACACTCACTGTCCTCTGGGAGGAAGGCTGTGCTGCAGACAGCCTGGAGTGAGCAAGGGAGGGTGGAGGAAAAGCCAAGGGGGAAGGCTGCCATCAGGAAGACCTGAGAAGCAATTCTATTTCTTTTTTTTTCCTTTTCAGTTGACACATAAGAATTGCACATATTTATGGGGTACACAGTGATATTTTGATACATGTATATAATGTATGATGATCAAATCAGGGTAATTACCATATCCATCACCTCAAACATTTATCATGTCTTTGTGCTTGGAACATTCAAAATCCTCTCTTCTAGCTTTCTGAACTTATACATTATTGTTAACTATATTCACCCTACAGTGGAATAGAACATTAGAACTTGGTTCTTGATTTGGCTGTAAGTTTGTATCCATAACCAACCTCTTCCTATCCTCTAATCCCCGCTACTCTTCCAGGCTTCTAATGTCTATAATGTTAGTCTCTACTTCTATGGGCTCAATTTTTTTTTTTAAGATTCCATATACAAAGAAGATCATGTGGTATTTATCTTTCTGTGCCTGACTTATTTTATTTAATATATTGTTCTCCAGTTTCATCCATGTCGCCATAAATGACAGGATTTCATTTTTAATGGCTGAGTGGTATTCCATTGTATAAATATACACATTTTCTTTATCCATTCATCTGTTGATGAATTCATCATAGGTTGATCCACATCTTGGTTTTATAAATAGTGTTACAATAAACATGAGGGTGCAGACATGTCTTGGATATACTAATTTTCTTTCCTTTGGATAAATGCCCAGTAGTGGAATTGTTGGATCATATGGCAGTTCTATTTTTAGTTTTTGGAGGATCCTCCACACTGTTCTTCATAATGACTGTACTAATTTACATTCCCACTAATAGTGTGTGAGGATTCCCTTTGCTCTACGTCCTTGCCAGTATTTGTTATTTTTTCTTTTTGATAACAGCCACTCTAACTGGGGTGAGATATCTCAGTGTGGTTTTGATTTGCATTTCCTCGATGATTACTGATGTTAAGCACTTAAAAATATACTTGTTGGCTACTTGTATGTCTTCTTTTGAGAAATGTCTATTTAGATCTTTTGCACACTTTAAAATCAGATTTTTTTTTCTCTTTGAGGTTGAGTTCCTTGTCTATTACGGACATTAGTCCTTTGTCAGGTGAATAGTTTGCAACTATTTTCTCCCACTCCATAGGCTGTCTCTTCAATTTGTTAATTGTTTCCTTTGATGCACAGAAGCTTTTTCATTTGATATAGGCTCATTTATCTATTTTTGGTTTTGTTGCCTGTACTTTTGAAGTCTTACCTCTAAAATCTTTGCCTAGACCAATGTCCTGAAGCATTTCCCCTATGTTTTCTTCTAGGATTTTTACATTTCAGGCCTTGCATTTAAGTCTTTAATCCATTTTGAGTTGATTTTTGTATATGGTGAGAGATAGGGATCTGGTTTCATTCTTCTGGATATGGATATCCAGTTTCCCCAGCACCACTTATTGAAAAGAGTGTCCTTTCCCTAATATATGTTCTTGGTGCCTTTGTTGAAAATCAGTTGGCTGGAAATATGGATTTATTTCTGGGTTCTCTATTCTGTTCCATTGGTCTATGTGTCTGTTTTTATACCAATACCATGCTGTTTTGGTTATTATTGCTTAGTATACTTTGAAGTCAAGTAGTATGATGCCTCCTCTTTTTGCTTAGGATTGTTTTGGCTATTTAGGGTTTTTTGTATTTCCATATAAACCTTAAGGTGTTTTTTTCGATTTCTTTGAAGAATGTCATTGGTGTTTTGATAAGGATTGCACTGACTGTAGATTTCTTGGGTAGGATGGTAATTTTCCAATATTAATTATTCCAATCCATAAGCATGGAATGTCTTTCCATTTTCTGTGTTCAATTCTTTCATCAGTGTTTTGTAGTTTTCATTGTAGAGATCTTTCACTTCATTGGTTAAATTTATCCCTAGGCAATTTTTTTGTAGCTATTGTAAATGGGATTGCTTTCTTGGTTTGTTTTTCAACTAGTTTGTTATTGGCATATAGAAACACTACTGATTTTTGTATGTTGATTTGGTATGCTGCAACTTTACTGAATTTGTTACTCAGTTCTAACAGTTTTTTGGTGGACTCTTTAGATTTTTCTAAATATAAGATCATGCCATTTGCAAAGAGGGACCATTTTACTTCCTGTTTTTTGATGTGGATGCCATTTCTTTCTCTTGCTTAATTGCTTGTTAGGGCTTCCAGTACAATTTGAATAAGAGTGGTGAAAGTGGGCATCCTTGTTCCATTTCTTAGGGCAAAGGCTTTCAGCTTTTCCCCATTAAATATAATGTTAGCTGTGGGTGTGTCATATATGGCCTTCACTGTGTTGAGGTTTTTTCCTTCTATGCCTAATTTGTTGAGAGTTTAGGGATGTTGAATTTGTCACATGCATTTTCTGCCTCTATTGAGATACTCACGTGGTTTTTGTTCTTTACCCTGCTGATGTGATGTGTGTGTTTATTGATTTGTATATGCTGAATTTCCTTGCATTTCTAGGATTAATCCAACCAGATTACGATGTATTATGTTTCTGATGTGCTGCTGAATTTGCTTTGCTAGTATTTTGTTGGGATTTTTGCATTTATGTTCACTGAGGATATTGATCTATAATTTTCTTTTTTGTTGTGATTTTGTCTGGTTTTAGTATTAGGATAATATTGGCATTGTAGAATGAGTTAGGAAGAATTCCCTTCTCTTCAAGTTTTTTTGGAATAGTTCGAGAAAAATTGGTGTTAATTCTTCTTTAAAAGTTTGGTAGAATTCAGCAGTAAAGCCATCCAGTCCTGGGCTTTTCTTTGTTAGGAGAATGTTTATTACTGAGTCAGTCTCATTACTTGTTATTGTTATGTTCAGGTTTTCTATTTATTCATGGTCCAATCTTGGTAGGTGGTAGGTGTCCAGGAATTTATCCATTTCCTCTAGGCTTTCCAATCTGTTGGTGTATAGTTATTCATAATAGTCTCTAATGATCCTTTGTATTTCTGTCGTATCAGTTGTAATGCCTCCTTTTTTGTCCCTGATTTTATTTATTTGGGACTTCTCTGTTTATTTCTTAGTCTAGCTAAAGGTTTGTCAATTTTGTTTATCTTTTCAAAAAACTTTTTATTTCATTGATCCTTTGTATTGTTTTTTAGTCTCTATTTCATTTATTTCTGCTCTGATCTTTATTATTTCTTTCCTTCCCCTAATTTTGGGTTTGCTTTCTTCTTGCTTTTCTAGTTCCTTAAGGTGCATTGTTAGGCAGTTCATTAAAAATCTTTCTACTTATTTTGATGTAGGTGTTTATTGCTATAAACTTTTCTCTTAGCACTGCTTTTGTGTATACTATAGATCTTGGTATGTTATGTTTCCATTTTTATTTGTGTCAAGGAATTTCTTAAATTTTTTTTTTTTTTTTAAGAGACAGGGTATTGCTATGTTACCCAGGCTGGAACGAAGTGGCTATTCACAGTTGTGACCATAGAACACTATAGCCTCAAAGCCCTTGGCTCTGGTGATCCTCCTGCCTCAGCCTCCTGAGTAGCTGGAGCTACAGATGCATGTCACTGTGGCTGGCTCTTTAATTTCTTTTTAAATTTCTTCATTGACCCATTGGTCATTTAGAAGCATGTTGTTTAGTGTCCATGTATTTCCAAAGTTCCTCGTTATTGACTTCTAGTTTTATTCCTTTGTGGTCTGAAAAGATACTTGATATGATTTCAGTTTTTAAAAATTTGTCAAGACTTGCTTTGTGACCTAACATATGGTCTAAACTGGAGAATATTCCATGTGTTGTTGAGAAAAATGTGTATTCTATGGCTGTTGGGTAAAATGTTGTATAATGTCTGTTAAATCCATTTGGCTTAAAGTGCAGTTTAACTCTGATGTTTCTTTGTTGATTTTTCTGTCTGGATGATCTGTCCATTACTGAAAGTGGGCTGTTGAAGTCCCCTACTATTATTGTATTGCAGTAAATCTCTCCCTTTAGCTAATAATGTTTGTTTTATATATCTGGGTGCTCTGGTGTTGGGTACATATATATTTAAAACTGTTATATTCTCTTGCTAAAAGGAGTCCTTTATGATTATATAATGACCTTCTTTGTCTCTTTTTATGTTTTTTTGACTTAAAGTCTATTTTTGTCTGAAATAAATATAGCTACTGTTGTATGCTTTTGGTTTCTGTTTGTGTAGAACATCTTTTTCCATTCCTTCACTTTCAGTCTATGTGAGTCTCTACAGGTGAAGTGAGTTTCCTGTGGGCAGCACCTAGCTGGGTCTTACTTTTTTATTCTTTCAGCCAGTCTATACCTTTTAATTGGAGAATTTAAACTATTTACATTCAAGGTTGTTATTGATAGGTGAAAACTTATTCCTGTCATTTTGTTAATTGTTTTCTGATTGTTTTGTATATTGTATATAATATTGTATATATTTCTTCCTCTCTTATTCTTTAGCTTTGCAGTTTGGTAGTTTTCTGTAGTAATAATGTTTGATTCATCTCTGTTTCTCATTTGTGTATTTGCTCTATCAGTGAGTTTTATACATTCATGTGTTTTTTTTCAGGGTAGATATTGTCCTTTTACTTTCAGATGTAGGGCTCCCTTAAGCATTTCTTGTAGGGCAGGCATAGAGGTGGTAAATTCCCTCAGTTTTTGGTTGTCCTGGGAAGACTATTTCTCCTTCATTTCTAAAAGATAGCATTGCTGGATATAGTCTTCTTGGCTGGCAGGATTTTTTTTTATTCCTTTCAGCACTTTGAATATATCATCCCATTCTTTCCTGGCCTATAAGGTTTCTGCTGAGAAATCTGTTTCTAGTTTGATGGGAATTCCCTTATATGTAGCTGGATGCTTTTCTCTTGCTGTTTTAAATTTTTTCTGTGTCTTTGACATTTGACAGTTTGACTATAATGTGCCCCAGAGGGGACCTTTTTGGGTTTAATCTATTTGGAGATCTTTGAGCTATCTTATCTGAATGTCACCTATATCACTCACAGGACTTTTGAAGTTTTCAGCTATTATTTTATTAAATAGGTTTCCTATGCAGGTGCTTTTTCTAATTTTATGGAGTAGCTTTTGCAAGGAAAGACTTTTTGCTGTAGATGTATCTATAGTGTTAGTCGGGTAGGGTTCTTTGGCTTTGATTCCAGGTGGGCGCAGCAGTGTAGCCTTTGTATGATTTCTTCCACTGTAGTCAATGTCAGCAGTGTCTGCATGTTCCTCACTAGCTTAGACTGTAGTTGTTTGTGATGGATGTGGTATGGTTTTGCTGGGGACAAGGATGCTGGATGGGCCAGTCCTTGGGCTCCTGGATGGTGCAAAATGGTGCATGGTGGTCCCACCACTGAAGTGGCAGGTTCACTGGACAGCAGTGGCAGTGGGCCCTGGTTGGGTCTGTCCTGGGGCCCCTGCATGGCACACATGGGTGCTGGTGATTGCAGACCCTGGGTGAGCTGATCCTCAGGCTCTTGGGTGCTGTGTTTGGGTACTGATGCTGGTGGTCTTGTCTTTAGGTCCCTGAGTGATGTGTGGGACCACTGGAGGGGGCAAGTTTGCTATTGGTGGTGGCCCTGGGGCAGGAAGCTTTCAGGTACTGGGGAGTGTGTGCTTTGGCTTCCTATGTCCTGGAGGCAGACTCCCTGATGTGCAAGACCGCCTGTTCCCCATGGTGTAGGGCACTGACTGGGCTTAGGTGCTGAGGATGTGGCTGCATTGCTGGGTCCAGCTGATGTTGCAATGCTGCAGACTTCTGAGTGGATGTGGGAGATGTTAGCTGAGTCCCAAGGGTGTGGAGATGCAGGGGCTACTGGGACCCAGGGCAGGATGTAGTCTAGTAATGACTACTCTCAAAATGGTGCTATGCCGCAGCAGCTTGGTTTTGCAGGAGTGGGGAGCAGGGAGGGACTATCCAAGAGTGAATCCCCTCTCTGGAATAATGCAGTTTCCTGGACTCCAGGCATCTCCCTATGCTAGGCTTGGGTCCTGTGAGGGCTGAGGGGTTTTCCTGTAACTAGCATTGCAGGTGTTCCATTTCTAAATAGCAGGCCACTCTCTGACCACTGGATTGAGAGGAACGGAGACATTGCTGGATGATTGGCCAAAGAATCAAAGAACCAGAGGCTCCTAGAGTAGGACTGGCCTTCGAGCTAATCCAGTCTGTCTTCTCCAGAGTCCTTCTGTAGCATCCAGCAGTGAGAAACTATTATTACCACTATTACTAATAACAATAGTAAAAGCTGTATCGGACGCTGTGAAAGTACTTAATATACATTGTATTTAATCCTAACAGTGCTCTATAAGGTATGTATTAATATCATTTCAATTTTGCAGCAGTAATCCTCCACTGGGTTGCTTTTGCCTCCCAGGGAACATTTGGCAGTTTCTGGACACATTTTGATTGTCACATCCAGGGGGCTGCTAGTGGCATCTAGAGGTTAGAGATACTGCTAAACATGCTGCAATGCACAGGACAGTTCTCACAACAAATAATTTAGTCCAAAATGACAACAGTGCCAAAGTTAAGGAACAATGCTTTGCAGATAAGAAAACAGGCCCAAGGTTACAGGGTTAATAAGAGGCAGGCAAGATTCCAACCTAGGTCTGTCTGACTCTAAGGTCTGCGCTCTTCATTCCAAATGATCGGAGTCCCTCTTTCAAAGGCAGCCCAATGAAGCCTTGGCCAGCTCTCAGTCCATCTTGAAGCAATTTAGCATTATGTAGCAAAGGTACTAACAACTACTCATAACTCCTGACTCAGTAATTCCATTTCTGGGAATCTGTCCCAATGTTTGAATTCAAAATGTAGCAAAATCTTCATGCACAAGGATTTGCACCCAAACCTTACATATGGGATCCAAAATTTGACAAACAAGTGTTTAAAAATAAAAAACATGATTAAATAAACTCTAGTACATCCACATGATAAAATAATAAACTTTTGCAGCCGTTAAAGATGATTACATAGAACTGCAATACCAAAAAAAGAATCCTCATATTAAAATGTTAAGTAGAAAAGAGCAAAATTCAAAATTGCATACAGTATAATCAGGATTATGTTATTAAAAACTATGTACTAAGTAAATACCAGGGAGAAAAAAACCCCAAAGTGTTGACCAAGGACTTTTCTCCCTAGTGGGATTATCAGTGACATTCTGTCCAAGTTTTCTGTAATTTCTGAACTTTGAATTATGGCATGTGCTACTTGTATTACCAGAATAATAAGCTTACTGAGGTGGCATTTACTTTCTTGCACCTTCCATCTAGGTTGAGGGTGGAAGACGCTTATCTTTCCCTCTGTCTCTCTCAAAAACTTCCATTAAAAAGCTCAAAACAAGAAGATTCAAAAGGAAGTGGAGAAGAGAAGAGAATCATTTGGAGCCCCTACTCCACTCATTCATTTCCCCAAGGCACTGGGAAGCCTGACGGTCAGGTACCCTTTGCCTTGGTTGAGCTAACCATCTCACCATCTCCTCAGAGCACCTTTCAGCTTGCCCTGCATTTCCCGGTTCCCTTCTTCTGTTCTTGTTTTCCCACCTTTGATTGCCCTTTTCTTCATTCTCCTAACAATTGAAGACCTTCAAGGCTATGACCAAATGCTATTTCTTCCATGAAGCCCTCCAGGATGTCCCTGGTCAGAATCAAGTCCCTCTTTTCTCTATATACCTGCAAAGCCTGCTTATAAAGTCTAACACATTACATGTTTAATTCTGTTGCATTTCACAGTAAATTATCCACACATCTACTTTCCCTACTGAGTTTCAAAAGCAGAGACCATGCCTCATCCATTGTCCTGTTCCGGGAAGGGGAGGCAGTGTGGCATGTGGTTAGGAACAGCTCTTCAGACTCAGACTGAGAGCCTCCAACCGGCTACTAACTAGATGAGTGACCTTAAGTGAGTTATTTGATGTCTCTGTAAGTGAGAATGATTATGACCTAATGAATTTGTTGTGTGGATTAAACAAATAATATATATAAAGTACTTAACCTTCATTTCATCTGCAAAATTAGGACAATAATAGTACCTACCTCATAGTATTAAATGAAGAAATGCATATAAAGCATTTAAAGCACTTGGAACAGAGTCTGGTATATTGTAAGCACTTAATAAGAATTCAGTACTATTATTCTTTGTATCACTACCATCACCATCTTCATCTTCATCACCATCCCCATCACCATCATCATTGCCATCATGTACATCATCATGATTATCGTCTCTGTCATCATCACCATCATCATCACCATCACTGTCACATCATCACCATCACCATCATCATCACCATCATCTCCATCATTATCGCCATCACCATCATCTCCATCATCATCATCACCATCACCATCATCATCACCATCACCATCATCATCAACATGACCACCATCATCATCTCCATCATTATCACCATCACCATCATCATCTCCATCATCATCATCACCATCACCATCATCATCACCATCACCATCATCACTACCATCATCTCCGTCATTATCGCCATCACCATCATCTCCATCATAATCATCACCGTCACCATCATCATCACCATCACCACCACCTCCATTACATCACTATCACCATCATCATCTCCATCATCATCATCACCATCACCATTATCATCACCACCATCATCTCAGACATCACCATCATCATCACCAAAATCATCTCTGTCACCATCACCATCACTACCATCATCATCTCCATCATCATCACTATCACCATAATCATCATTATCACCATCACCATCATCATCTCCATCATCATCACTATCACCATAATCATCATCATCACCATCACCATCATCATCACCATGACCACCGTCATCATCTCCATCACCGTCACCATCACTGCCACCATCATCACCAACGGCAGCAGCAGTAGCAACAGCAGCAGCCTAGTCCCAAGGTCAGAGGTCTCAAAGATGTCTCTGAGGAGGGCTAGCCATGGGAGATGGAGTTGGCACAGGGATCCCTGAAGTTACTAGCTTCCTTTCAAACCCTGCTCTATAATATGTGCTATCTGCTGCTTCCCTTGTCAGTGTCATGATCCCAAAACAACAAATCCAATAGTCACTAACTGAACAGAGTTTGGATAGATGGAGTGTGATTTTAGAAGCCTACCTGAGAATCAATCCACTAATAACTATGTTTCCCAAATATCAGCCATTTGGGAATCACCATCATTATGTCTCTCATATCTGTGTGCTGCTGATACAATTTATTTACTTAATGTTTTTCTTTAAATTGGCTAATTATTTCACACATATAAATTCATTTTAAGAGAAAATTTCATATCAGTGCCATAAATGGAAAACTCATATTGTCCTAGTACTCATAAAAATATATTGCAATTTAAATTAGAAGGTGTTTTGTGCATCACCTACTATCATTTCCAGTGCCACCCTTGGGGAAATGCTACTCTAACCTACCTGACTCAGGATCATCTGTGGAGCCCCCAAGAAACCACTGTTCCTGCATGCCAAGTGTGACCACCCTAGGACAAAGAGTCACAAATTCCAATGGTGGGCTCCTTCTGCCCAAACCCATGCTGATACAGCACCTTCACTGCCTTCCTACTCTTCCTTCCATCCATGGCCAGCTACCACTTACTCTAGTATATTTCCCAAACCTCCCACAACCCTGGGAGAGGAGGTATTGTCACCCTTTTCTCACAGACTATAAAACTGGAAATCAGAGTGATCAAGTCACTTGCCCTAAGTCACACAGCACAGATGAGGAAACCAAGTCACTCCACAGTATTATAAACTGCTGCTTAACTCGTCCGATTGAAACTCCTCTCCTTGAGAAAAAGCGAAAGAAACAAGAAAAGAAAAAAGACCACATATAATCCAGGTCATTAGGTACAGGGTAATGAGAGATTTTTATGGAGAAGGAGAGATGAAGGAACAGAGATGCAACAAGAGAAAGAAGGCTGACCTCTGGATTCAGCTGGAAGCTTGCCATTCATTAATTCATTCAGCAAATATTATTGTATCCTACTGTGTGCTGAATATTGTTTTAGGCACTGGAGGTTCAGTGATGTTAAAAAAAAAAAACAAAAACTCTTGGCCAGGCGCCATGGCTCACGCCTGTAATCCCAGCACTTTGGGAGGCCAAGGTGGGCAGAATGCTCGAGCTCAAGAGTTTGAGATCAGCCTGGCCAACATGGTGAAACCCCGTCTCTACTAAAAATACAAAAATTAGCTGGGCATGGTGGTGTATGCCTGTAGTCCCAGCTACTTGGGAGGCTGAGGCACAAGAATTGCTTGAACCCAGGAGGCGGAGGTTGCAGTGAGCTGAGATTGAGCCACTGCACTCCAGCCTGGGAGACAACAGTGAGACTCCGTCTCAAAAAAAAAAGTTTCAACTCTTATGGGATTTACAGCTCTGGTGGGATTTACAGTCTTGGTGGGGGAGACAGAAAATAAACAAATATATAGCATGTCAGGTGGTAACAAGTGCAAGAAGAAAATTAAGGCAGAAGAGGGAATAGGGAGTGATGTGGGGAGGGGTAGGTGGGTGGGGCAGTCATGGAGGGCATCTCTGAGGAGGTGACATTTTAGAAGCTTGAATGAAGCGAGGGAGCTTTGAGAATATTAGGGGAAGAGCTTTTCAGGCATAAGGAGCAGCAGGTGCAAAGGCCTTGTGGTAGGGGCATGAGTGGAATATTCAAGAAATATCAGTAGGCCAGTGGCCACTTCACCACATGAGAAGATTACAGGTATACCCTAGGGGCTGAAGGCAGGGGACTCTCAGAAAAGAGCCCACTTACATTTCAAACAAGGGGAAAGACAACTTTGTCCAAGCAAAAAGCGCTGTTTTTGTGGGTTTGCGTTTTCTTCTTGTGACACTGAGGAGAGACAACCCAGAAAACCTTTTTATACAGTTGTAAATTAATGGTCCTGTTTTGATTGCCTAATTGCCTGGGGACAGCAAGTTCACACTCTAGTGTGAAAAGACAACAGGAAGAGACATTTTAGAAGAAGTCCTCATTTTTTTTTCTTTAAACAACAGAAAGCAAACACTATAATTAATGACTGTCAGCTGGGGGTTTAACTGGGAGCTTGGGGGCAAGGCTGAGGTGACAGGCAGAAGAGCCAAGACAAGGTCTCAGAGGACACAAATATGGACTTGGATGGGACCAAAAGCAAATTAGTCCTAAAGGGAGAGAAGCCAGGGCCTCTGCTTCCCCACAGCCCTGTGGGGATTGGGTGGACCTGCTTCTCCCAGCCCTACTCACTGGTTCAGGAAAGACGAACTGGACCGCCCACCGAACTCTAAGTCAACTGTGAAGTCCATCACCTGGCAAATTTCCTAGGGCTCAGGATCAAAGAATTGCCAGCTGGTGTCAGTTTGGCGATTTTCGTGGCCTCTTGATTTAGCTTACCCGTGAAATATTTTAGAACCGGCATAGGTTCAGCTCTACGTCCCTGAGTTCAAAATTCAGCTCAATAGAAAATTTATTATCTGACTGAGTTTCATTAAGAGTCCTACTCACTTGCAGCATTTTCTTCAGTTTTTGTTTCTCAGACAAGTTCACTTTAGGTCATTCATTATTCATTTGACATTCAAAGGAAATTTCCTTAGTTGTGGGTGATGTGTTAGGTGCTCACAATACAAAGCTGATTTGCACACAGCACAGCAGAGGGAAAAAGAAAAAAATGATTTTAATTATGACTGCCACTTACTAGCTGAGTGGCCTTGGGCAAGACATTTATCCTTCCAAAGTCTCAGTTTGCTTATCTGTGAAATGGGAATAATAATACCTTAAAGGTATTCAAAGCAGCTGGTACACAGTAGGTGCTCCAGAAATAGTGGATATGTTTTTACCTCAAGCCATAACAGACTGGACAAAGATAAGTGTTTTGGACATTCCAGGTGATCAAGACAGTTCTAGATTTTAATATGAGGCCCTGAGGAAACAGGCAAGGGTTACCAGGAGAAGTCCCAGTCTGCAGAGGTGGTCCCCTGTCTAGATACAGCCCAGCATTGATTCACAACAGGGATGGGTTCTGAGAAATATGTCCTTAGACGATTTCATTGTTGGACGAACATCATAGACTGCATTACACAAACCTAGGGGCAGAGCCTACTGCACACCTAGGCTGTAGGGTGTAGCCTATCACTCTCAGCCTACAAACCTGTACAGTATGTGTCTGTCCTGATACTGTGGGCAATCGTAACACAATGGGAAGTACTTGTGTATCTAAGCATACCTAAACATAAAAAAGGTACAGTAAAAAATGCAGTAATATTTTTTCTCTTTCTTTCTCTTCCTTCTTTCTTTCTTTTTTTTTTTTTTTTTTTTTTTTTTGACAGGATCTTGCTCTGTCGCCTAGGCTGGAGTGCAGAGGTGTGATCATGACTCACTGCAGTCTTGACCTCCAGTGCTCAAGCGATCCTCCCACTTCAGCCTTCCGAGTAGCTGGGACTACAGGCGCATGCCACCACACCTGGCTAATTTTGTTTCATTTTTTGTAGAGACAAAGTCTCACTATGTTGCCCAAGATGGTCTCAACTCCTGGGCTCAAGCAATCCGCTCACATCAGCCTCCCAAAGTGCTGGGATTACAGGTGTGAGTCACTGCACCTGGCCAGTATTATGATCTTATGGGACCACCATCATATATGTAGTCTGTCATTGACTGGAATGTCATGACGCAGCACTTGCTGTATTTGGGGAGGTATTGGTAACCTTTGTGAATGTTCACACCTGCAGTTTAGTTTACAGGAGAGCATCCACAGTGCACCCTACAGAGCAAATTGCAAATCTTCAGAGCAATTTGCAGGGAATGCAGACCCAACTGACACCCTGATGGTACAGAGGTGGGGAATCTCAAGTCTGAGTGGAAATATCTTCTGGACTTCCCTGGAGGGAGTGTAGTTTAGTGGTTAAGTATAAAAGCTTTGCCTTGAGAAGCTTGGATTCAATTTTGAGCCATTCAATTCACAGGTGTGGTTGATCTTGGATAAGTTGTTTAACCTCCTCTTGCTTCCATTCCCATATCATCGAATGAGGACAATAATAACATATTGGAAGTAACTCCTGTAAACACTTATCATAGTTCCCTGGCTCATTAAACATCAGCTGCTGCCGTTATTATTGTTATTAGCTACTAAAATAGGGCTCCACTCTTGACCCTGGCCAGACGTGTCCCTGTTTCAACAAGAGCAGGAATGACTGAGAACAAACTCCATCTCACCTTTTTTGGAAAAACAGTGGTTTCCACATTGGCTGAGCAACCTTTGAATATGAAGAACAGCTCTCTATGTACACAGAGAGCAAGGCTGTATTGATTCAGACCACAAAGCAAGCCAATCTAAATTACAGTCAGATCAGAAAAAAGGCAATTTTATTCCTTTCAGCAGCCGACGTGACTTATCAAAGTGCTTCCTTGTGCACACATTCTATGGGGCTGACTTAATGAATGTACAAAACCCATTCGCAATTAGCAACACCCATTTGTGTGCCAACAACTCACATGCAAAAGTCAACATTCAATGAGGACAGCATTTAATTTACAGAGCAAATTGTCCTTAAAAACAATTTATGTGGCAAGCAGCTCCTGCAGGCTGCCTCTTAGGTGAAGAGCAGATTTGTTTAGCAAATCCTTTCTTCGAAGAGAGCACCAGAATTACGCAGGGCCCCAGTCCAGGTGCTGGAGGCTGGGGGAGGACTTTGAGACATCCCAGGACAAAGCTTTGAGACCTTAGGGACAGTGTGTGTGGGCCACATGGTGTGAGGGCCTCTTCTGGGGTTGTCCCACAAAGCTATGTCCCAACTCGGTAGCCAGATCCTACATTTCTAGGGTCATGAGCATGTCCTGGAAAACATTGAAGTCCCATATGTGTGGCAGTTCGTCTTACAGCAATGTCTCTCCAAGAGTGCTGCTTGGACCTTCTGCCTCTGAACGCCCCGAGTACGTATTAAAATGTAGATATTTCCTTACCCCATTCCACTTGTCGCAGACATCTCAAAATAGCATTCACACATATTACACCCAAATCATGGGGTCATCTGACCTGCTGCTATATCTTGTTATATCACATGCTAATTAAAAAAGAAAAAAAGAAACCCGGAGAACTACTATGTCACAATTGAGATTAAAAATATTATGATAATTGAATTTTAATGTAATCAGTTTCCTTTGTAATCATTTGCACATTATGCATTTAAAAATATTATTCTGAAACAGGGTCCACAGGTTTCACCACATTGCCAAAGGTGTTGTAACTCCCAAAAGTTTCAGAAGAATCCCAGGACTGACCAGTAGCTAGGAGGCCCTGGGACAGGAGGCATTTTGTGACTTCAGAGGTTTGAAGGGAATGGAAGCGCAACTTCCAAATTCAGATGCCAGGAAAGTAGCTCTCTAGTGGCCATAAGCGCCCCCTATGGCTTGGATCAGCTACTGACTCCCTTTCCAGAGGTGCAGGCCGTAAGTTTAATGGAGAGTGCCTATCTGGGTGTACAGGGAACTCCTCTGGGAAGAAGTGGAAGTTGCATTTTGGGTCTTAAATTCTTTCATAGTTCAGGATTTGCTGGAATTTCAATACCAACCCCCACTTTAACACAATCTAGCATTTCTGTGATCAATGCTTCAATTCCATCAGTAACTAATATTCAGCTAAATTGATAATCAATTGGATCATAAGTAAATACAGGATTACTTTCCTCTGGTTAGTCAGACTCACAGAGCACAGCCCTGAATTAGGGGGTATGTAAGCATGGTAAATTATTACTTAAACTTGGGACACCCCAACCTTGATTATCCCTTCCTTCTTTGCATCTTTCTGCCTCTTTTCCCTCCCTCCTTCCCTTCCCTTCCCTTCCCTTCCCCTCCCTCCCTCCCTTCCTTCTTTCCTTCTTTCCTTCCTTCATTCCTTCCTTCCTTCCTTCCCTCCTTCCCTCCTTTTCCCATTTCCCAACCCCTCTCTCTTTCTCTTCCTTCCTTTATGTTTCCTGAGGGCCTACTATATGCCAAGCAGTATTCCTGGTGCTGGGGTTACATCAGTGAGCAAATAAAATGTTTCTACTATATTCTATATAGTAGGGAGAGAGAGAGAGAGACAATTAAAAAAATAAAATATAGAGTGTGGGTGGGAGGGGAGGGGAGTAGTTGCTGATGGCTACTGGGTTTCTTGTTGCCATAATAAAAATGTTCTAAAATTGATTATGGTCATGGTTGCATACCCTGGTAAATATACTAAAAACTGCTGAATTGCATGCTCTACAAAGGTAAATTGTATATGAACTATATCTCAATAAACCTATTATTAAAAAACAAAAATATAGAGTATATCTTAGGATGATAACTTCTGGGGACAAAAGTAAAGCAATGAAGGGGAGAAAAGTTGCCATAGTCTGAATGTCTGTCACCCCAAATCCATATGTTGAAGCCCTGCCCCCTCAATGTGACAGTATTTGGAGACAGGGCCTTTGGCAAATTATTAGGGTTAGATGAGTCCATGAGGGCGGATCGTCATGATGGGGTTAGAGGACTTATAAGAAGAGGAATACCTTCCCCCACCCCACCACCCTGCGAGAACACAGGGAGAAGGTACCCATCTGCAAGCCAGGAAGAGAGACCTCACCAGGAACTGAATTGTCTGCCACCTTGATCTTGGACTTCCCAGCCCCTAGAACCATGAGGAATAAATGTCTGTGTTTTAAGCCACACTGTATATGGTATTTCATTATAGTGGCCCAAGTTGACTAAGACAAGGGTCCTCAGAGTATTATGATTTTAAATACAATGGTCATAGAAAGCTTCATTGAGAAGGTAACATTTGGGTGAAATGGGAAGGTAGTGAGGGAGTGAGCCATGGGGATACCTGGAGGAAGAACAGTTCAGGCAGAGGGAAGAGTAAGTGCAAAGGTCCTGTGGTAAACCTCTTGTGCTCAAGGAACAAGCAGGGGACAGAGGTGGGGTGGAGGAGGATGTCTGGGGAGGGTAGGGGGTGGGGGGACATGGAAGTAATTCTGGGGCTTTGGCTTTTCCTGTGGGTCAGATGGGGAACCACTGAACCAGAGCCAGTGGAGGACTCTGAACAGAGGAGAGATGTGATCTGATATATGCTTTAAGTGGATCTCATTGTGGAAATCAACAGTGGCCAGCCATTTATAGAGTATTTACCATGTGCCAGGCACCTTGGCAAACCCTCTTGTGAAAGCTGTCAGAATTAAAATGGAATCATTTGTGTTAAAATCCCTGATGAAGAGAGTCAGCAAAGGCCATGAAGGGAAGATTTCCATGCACAAATGCCTGATAACAAGAACTATCACAGAACACCTCTGCAAAAATCACAGCCTTGCACGAAGGCCATGGTAACCTTATACACACACACACACACACACACACACACACACACACACACAACTTATATGAAGACATGTGACCAGCGACTGCCAGTCCAAACTCGGACTGGTGCCACCCTTGTCATTTATTGATCCTTGTAGCCAACGATAATTATCTCAAAAACAATTTTGTAATCCTCCTCCTCACTTTTCCATTAAAGACCATTGTCCTCCTTTAGCCCCCTGAATACACACGTAATATTTCTCTGAGAATATACTCTGGCATGCACATTCTCACGGCAAGGCCTATTCCCAGATAAACATGATTTTGTTTTAGAGAATCTCCTTCTCTGTTTGTTATTTAGGTAGACACCTTTATGGATGTGAGCTCATTGAATCACCGCAACTACACTCTGGGTAGGCATTGATATTTTCTCTAGTTTATAGAAAAGGAAACTGAGGTTCAGAAAAGCTTAGGAACCTGACCTGCATTTATGGCGGAACCAGGAAATGTGCCAGCTTCAGAGCTCTTACCTTCCCCACGCCACTGGCATTGTTTAGTGTACACAGCAGGCAGTCAATAAAAGGTGTCACCCCGCTGATTACAAAATAGTGCCCTGAGGGGTTGGCATGAGGACATTGTGTCACTTCGGGCACAGACAGGATATGTCTTGAGGCATGAGAGCTGGAGAACCAACATCTACTTACTCAATTCGGCGATGCTGCCTACGCGCGTGGCCAGCAAAGACTGCTCGATGGTCCTCAGCTCCGACTGGCTGAACATGGGCAGTTCCCCTGGCTTGTTTGACCGCTGTGGGTCTCTGTGAAGATTCAGGCTGTCTGGTAGGCACAGCACCCCTGCAGTCAGAAGGGAGACAGAGAATGAAAGGAAAACAGATTGTTATTTTTCAGTTAACCGAGGGAAGGGTGCAACATCTTGCACAACCTCAAACCACGCCAGAGCTGGTACTGCAAAGAAAGCCAATGTAGGAACCAACGCTCTGGACTCCTTTTAGAAATGGATGCCCAGCTATTTGCAAAGGTCTCTTCAAAGTCCTGACTACTGATTTTAACAAGCATGTGGGCATTCGTCTGTACATACACATTTCCAAAGAACACAAAACAGAATCCTCTCCTCGGGCCTGGAAGGGTTGCTATCCACTCCTAGATGTGACTTCTTGTGACTCTGGTGGTCAGGTCACTCCCTTTGTTCTCCCCACAAAGGCAGCTGTGGTCCCTCAGTGCCCTGGGGGAATAGTCTCTGCCGAAAATTGCTTCTGAGGGCTCACTTTGTTTGTTCAACAGATCTAGCTCTGGATGGTCGGGCTGTTACCTGTTTGACAAGGCTTCTGGCTTTCTCTGTGGAGCTATATGTCAGGATGTAGAAGAGTCCCCATGGGCTTTTGTAACTTGTATGGTGAATACCCATGGGAAATCCCTGGAATCCAATTATCCTCTTTCTTTCCTTTCCATTCCATAAACATTCAGTGAGAAGCTGGGAACTTACTTGGGTAGATGATTTGGCAATATTCACTCTTTCCTTTGCCACCCCAACCTCCCTAAGTTGAGTGCTTTTCCTTTCTTCTTGACTTTGGGTTTGACTACTTGATTTACTTTGTTCAAAGCTATGTTAACAAACACGATGGAGTCAAAAGCCTGAAGAGTACTTGTAAAATTGAACTTGCTCTCTTGCGCCTCTGCCTTGGTCATAAGAAAAACATGCCCTAGGCCTGGTGTGGTGGCTCACGCCCATAATCCCAGCAATTTGGGAGGCCAGGGAAGGCAGATCACCTGAGGTCAGGAGTTCGAGACCAGCCTGGCCAACATGGCGAAACACCGTCTCTACTAAAAATATAAAAATTAGCTGGGTGTGGGTGGCCTGTAGTCCCAGCTACTGGGGAGGCTGAGGAAGGAGAATTGCTTGAATCTGAGAGGCAGAGGCTGTGATGAGCCGAGATTGTGCTACCACACTCCAGCCTAGGCAACAGAGCAAGACTGTCAAAAAAAAAAAAAGAAAAAGAAAAAAAGAAAAGAAAAGAAAAAAGAAAAACATGTGCTGTCTGCAAAACTGGAGATCTGAAGGTGGAAAAAGAAAAGAAAAACATGCCCTGACTAGCCTGGCATAAGAGACACACAGAGCAGATCCAGAACCGGCCTGCAGCTTAGAGCTGCCCCAGCTGCCCATAAAGACATATGCTTATTTGGTATGCCACTGAGAGAGTGGGGATGTTAGTTACTCACCGTTATTGTGGTGAAAACTAACAGATACACCTACCAAGTATCCTACTGAGGATACAAGGAACAAGGCAGACATTGTGCTGCGTTTGGGGTTGAGGATATAGTGAGGGAGAGAACACACATAATCCCATGATCAGTGAGCTCCCAGTGTAAGTGAAGGAGACACGTTGTTACACACATAGCTGCAAAATCATTTGTTAAATGCTCTATGGTGGGAGAAGGTTATGAATGAAGGGATGTCTTATCAGAGACCTAAAGAACAAGTATTAAGTATTTGTCAACACAGTGGAAGCACTTATTGAACACCTGCTGTGTTTCCAACCCTGCTCGACATTTTATTTATTTATTTTTTATTATTATACTTTAAGTTCTAGGGTACATGTGCACAATGTGCAGGTTTGTTACATATGTATACGGTGCCATGTTGGTGTGCTGCACCCATTAACTCGTCATTTACATTAGGTATATCTCCTAATGTTATCCCTTCCCCCTCCCCCCACCCCATGACAGGCCCCAGTGTATGATGTTCCCCTTCCTGTGTCCAAGTGTTCTCATTATTCAATTCCCACCTATGAGTGAGAACATGCAGTGTTTGGTTTTCTGTCCTTGCGATAGTTTTCTGAGAATGATGGTTTCCATCTTCATCCATGTCCCTACAAAGGACATGAACTCATCATTTTTTATGGCTGCATAGTGTATATATGTGCCACATTTTCTTAATCCAATCTATTATTGATGGACATTTGGGTTGGTTCCAAGTCTTTGCTATTGTGAATAGTGCCGCAATAAACATACATGTGCATGTGTCTTTATAGCAGCATGATTTATAATCCTTTGGGTATATACCCAGTAATGGGATGGCTGGGTCAAATGGTATTTCTAGTTCTAGATCCCTGAGGAATCGCCACACTGTCTTCCACAATGGTTGAACTAGTTTACAGTCCCACCAACAGTGTAAAAATGTTCCTATTTCTCCACATCCTCTCCAGCACCTGTTGTTTCCTCACTTTTTAATGATCGCCATTCTAACTGGTATGAGATGGTATCCCACTGTGGTTTCGATTTGCATTTCTCTGATGGCCAGTGATGATGAGCATTTTTTCATGTGTCGGCTGCATAAATGTCTTCTTTTGAGAAGTGTCTGTTCATATCCTTTGCCCACTTGTTGATGGAGTTGTTTGTTTTTTTCTTGTAAATTTGTTCATGTTCTTTGTAGATTCTGGATATTAGCCCTTTGTCAGATGAGTAGATTGCAAAAATTTTCTCCCATTCTGTAGTTTGCCTGTTCACTCTGATGGTAGTTTCTTTTGCTGTGCAGAAGCTCTTTAGTTTAATTAGATCCCATTTGTCAATTTTGGCTTTTGTTGCCATTGCTTTTGGTGTTTTAGACATGAAGTCCTTGCCTATTCCTATACACCAATAACACCAATAACAGACAAACAGAGAGCCAAATCATGAGTGAACTCCCATTCACAACTGTTTCAAAGAGAATAAAATACCTAGGAATCCAACTTACAAGGAATGTGAAGGACCTCTTCAAGGAGAACTACAAACCATTGCTCAACAAAATAAAAGAGGATACAAACAAATGGAAGAACATTCCAAGCTCATGGATAGGAAGAATCAATATCGTGAAAATGGCCATACTGCCCAAGGTAATTTATAGATTCAATGCCATCCCCATCAAGCTACCAATGACTTTCTTCACAGAATTGGAAAACACTACTTTAAATTTCATATGGAAACAAAAAAGAGCCCGCATTGCCAAGTCAATCCTAAGCCAAAAGAACAAAGCTGGAGGCATCACGCTACCTGACTTCAAGCTATACTACAAGGCTACAGTAACCAAAACAGCATGGTACTGGTACCAAAACAGAGATATAGACCAATGGAACAGAACAGAGCCCTCAGAAATAATACCACACATCTACAACCATCTGATCTTTGACAAACCTGACAAAAACAAGAAATGGGGAAAGGATTCCCTATTTAACAAATGGTGCTGGGAAAACTGGCTAGCTATATGTAGAAAGTTGAAACTGGATCCCTTTACACCTTATACAAAAATTAATTCCAGATGGATTAAAGACTTAAATATTAGACCTAAAACCATAAAAACCCTAGAAGAAAACCTAGGCAATACCTGCCCAGCTTTTTGGAGATGCAAAAGAAGAGGACATATTCAAGTCATTTAAAACTGAAGAGATGACACTGGCATGGACAAAATAATCTGGAAATAAAATAGTGTCAATAGACAAGTGTTAAATAATTTAAACCAACTAGCAGGTGAGGGGAGACAGAATGCCAAGACCAGAAGTTAAAGTCCACTCCTCACCCTGCCTGAACCACAAGGCCTCAGCAAAGGCTCCTCCTTTGAAGATGGGCACCTTTGTAAGGTGGGCCTTTCACACTCCTGCTCTCGTCCCCACTGCCTGATTGGTGGCTCCAGACACACTGAGCTACTCACTTTCTCCTAAATATTTCACCTTCACATCTAACAGAGGGTGAGACAACGGGGTAGGGAACCCTAGTAGATGACTTTTTGGATAAATAAATAATGAATAATGAATAACAGGGCCGGGTGTGGTGTCTCACGCCTGTAATCCCAGCACTTTGGGAGGCCGAGGTGGGCGGATCACCTGAGGTCAGGAGTTCAAGACCAGCCTAGTTAACATGGTGAAACCCCGTCTCTACTAAAAATACAAAAAATTAGCTGGCTGTGGTGGTGGGTGCCTGTAATCCCAGCTACTCAGGAAGCTGAGGCAGGAAAATCACTTGAACTCGGGAGGCGGAGGTTGCAGTGAGCTGAGATCATGTCACTGCACTCCAGCCTGGGTGACACAGTGAGACTCTGTCTCCAAAAAAATAAAAAAAAAAAGAATAATGGATGAATGATACAGATGACCATTAGATTTTAATGTTTCCATAATCAGGAAATTAGTCAATGGATTTTCTTCTAAGACTCTAATCCAATCTTGTTTTTTTCAAATATTTTTGACTGTGACTCAGAGTAAGAATATATTTTATATCACAGCCTGGTGTGTGTGTGCGCACACACACACACACACACATGCACACACACACTCTTCATAATTTCCATTAAAATATTAATGGAAAATAACAGTGACCCTTACTACATGTGAGGCACTCTCATTTGTTTTCCTTTTCACTTCTCTTCCATCTTAGTAATAAAAAATGCTGACTGCAGCAACAAAAGTGACATCATGATCCACTAATGGGTCGACATGGGCAGTCTGAAAACACTGTGGGCTATGACACAGATTCACCATTTCCTGGGCACTACCTAGTGCTGTACTTTAGGAACCCTCAGCTTTCAGGGAAGAAAAGACCTTCCCAGAAATGCTCACCATCCAAGCCCAGCCTCCTGCCTCTCCCTTGACAGCCATGTCATTCTCCTGTTCAGCTCAGGCAGGAACACACTGAGTCATCCTTACTTCCTCTGGTTTGCCCACCTGCCAAGACATTAAGTCAGAGGCTAAGTCAAGTAGCTGTTGCCACGGCAATGAATCTTGGGCCAATTCCTCATCTGATGGTCCTGGTGTCTCTGACTAATTCAGGAACTTACCACCCCTTAAAGAGTTCACTGCAAAAAGTGCCATATAATCATGACCCACTCCAACATGTGACCCAATTTTCAGGGTAAGGAGACCCTCTAGTTAGGGAAAGGGGATGATGGTCAGAGGGGACTTCACAGCAAAGGAGACTCGAGACCTGGGCCCTGAATGTTGGGGAGAAGGTTGTCTAATTAATAGTACAGATGACTCACATATTCTCAACGGGATTGCTTTCTTAGTATTTGCACTATTTGCAGCAAGTCAACAACCCAGATCTTTGTTTTAAAATGTTGCTTCACATATTGAGCAACTGGGACTTGGAGGCCTGAGCAAATGGGACTTGGAGACTGGAATCCAGAGCTTCAGTCTTAGCTCTGCCACTTCTCACTGTGTTTGACTTTCGGCAGGTCATAGAATCTCTCTGGACCTCAGTTTCCTCTTCTGTGAAATGGGGGTGATAGTAATGACCTTGTTTTCCTCATCGGACTTCTGGGGATGGGAGTGAGGTATGAGAGCGAAATGAGATCATGTGTATCAAAGTATTTTGCATGTGCTAAGCAAACAGTAGGTTCCCAACATATGTTAACTGAGAGGAAAGTCAGTTAACGTGCACTAACCCAGCTTTCGACTACTTTGTCCCTTATTAAAAGAATCAACAATTTCCCTTGGAATTATTTCTCCTTCTTTTAGAGGATTATGAAATTTAAATATGGAAATATAATTATTCAAAGAAGCTTTGAGAGTTAGATTATAGAGATTAGGGAAATCTATAATTGATCTATTACACAAAGATTATATACCAGGGTTTAATTTTCTTTTTCCTCATTGGAGACTCTACATGGGGTATACAGGTAAACTGAAGTTATTTATTTATTTTTCATGTAAAAATATGCTTGGTCAGGGAGAAGGTCCTAGCATCATGTTTTAGTGTCAGATGCAGGCCTGAGTTTTGGACTACTCATCAATTTCCACTATTGGGGTCAAGGGCAGCCGTGGCCTGGTGATGAAGACCCAAGTTTAGATACAGAGGGAACTGAGGTTCAAATATGAGTTTGAGTGGACCTAAAGGAAATAATTTCCCTGGAGAGCAAATGAACATAAGCCAGGATCCACAGTGGGCTGGAGGGTCACGGTCTCCCTGAAATTCTGTTACTTTGAGTGTGTTGTGCATTTGTCTAAGGGGGGAGTTCATTCAAATTCTCCAAAGGGTTTATGGGTCCTAAAAAAGGGCAAACTAATGCCTTTGATTGTCCACATTCCCATTTATTCAAGGTTTCTCTGCTCTGGGACTGGCCTGGCGGCAAGGTGGGGTAGAGCAAGAGGGACAAGATACCGGCACTGCCAGAGCTTGATACCATCCTGCAGCTGCCCTCTGTGCAACTGGGACAAAGAACTTCCTGCTCTCCAGCCAGCTTCTGCATCAGCAAAGAGGGGTTAAACTATCTACTTCATAGGTTTATTGCAGGGATTAAACAAGATAATATACTTAAAGCCTCTGGCCTATAGAAAGTACCTGATAAATACCCTGTTCCCACAGATGTGCAGTCCTGTTTATTTAATGTCTGGATTCAAATGGTCTTGCAGATCATCTTCCCAAAATCTTGTGCAACTGGAGACAGACAACCATTTGGTAAGGTCATTTTGAACAAAAAATATGAAAGCTGCTGCTCTGGGCAGAACCCTGGGCCAACCATGTCTGGCACTGTGTCTCTGATAGAGGCCATCAGGGTGCATTGCTGCCTCCCAATGTGCCTACTTTTCTAGATGTATAGGATGGCCCCTTGGCAAATAGAACACCCTGACATCCTTTCACTCTCCTCTGGGCTTTTCTCTGTGTCTATGTTTTTTTATTGAACGCAGGGGACAGGGATGCTATATTAGTCCATTTTCACACTGCTATGAGGAAATACCCGAGACTGGGTGATTTAGAAAGGAAAGAGGTTTAATTGTCTCACAGTTCCGCATTGCTGGGGAGGCCTCAGGAAACTTATAATCATGGCAGAAGGCAAAGGAGAAGCAGGCACCTTCTTCACAGGGCGGCAGGACAGAGTGAGTGCAAGCAGGGGAAATGCCAGGCATTTACAAAACCATCAGATCTCGTGAGGACTCACTCACTTTCAGGAGAACAACATGGGGGAAACTGCCCCCATGATCCAATTACCTCCACCTGCTCCCGCCCTTGACATGTGAGGATTATGGGGATTACAATTCAAGGTGAGGGGGTGGGGACACAGAGCCAAACCATATCAGATGCTACTTATCTACGAAGAGAAAACCAAGTAAGAGAACCATCAGCATTGATCCATCCAACCTTCAATGATGATAATGGTGGTAGTGATGAAGGAGGAGAAGGAGGAGAACAGCCAACTTTTATGGAGTACAAACTATGGGCCAGGCACTCTGCTTAGCATTTTACATGTTTAAATTCAGATTTATTTTAATCCTCTCAGCCACACTATATGGTAGGAAATCCAACATTTATTAGGAGACAGTATAAGGTAACTGTTAAGAGCAAAGGCTCGGGGTTGACATTGCCTGGGTTTGAACCCTGGTTGCTTTACTTACTACTTGTGTAGCTTTAGGCAAGTAAGTATAATCATTCTGTGCCTTGGTTTTCCTATCTGTAAAATGGTAATATTAATAGTGCCTACCTCACAGGGTTGGAGGAAGATTAAAAAAGTTAATATGTATAAAACATTTGGAAAATACCTGGCATAGAGGAAGTGTTATAAAATATTTGCCATTATTATCTCTACTTTATAGGGAATGCAATAAAACTTAGAGATGTTCAGTAATTTGCCTAAGGTCACGTAGATCCTAAAAATGGGGCTAGGAATTGAATACCAAGTCTTCTGATTCCAGAGCTCAATCTCTTAGCCACTCAGCATACTGCTTCTTGGTTACTCAATCCCTACTTTCTGCCAGGCACAACTAGGGAACATGGTCATACATAGACAGCTGGATCCCTGCCCTTCTGGAACTCGCAGTATAACCATATGTGAGATGTTTTCCCTGGCATTATTACCCAGGAACTGATAGGCAAGTATACAAACTTCGTGGGTGCTGAAATACCATTAACCTCAAATGGAAAACCTTTACAATTTGCCCCCATGGGACAAAAGACAAAGTCTACAGATACATAGCATAGATGTGTTTCTTACCTTCAGCTCCTACTAGGAAGCTCACAGCCAAATTTGCAGCCCATGTGTAAATAAGGAAATGCATTTTTAACATTTTTGCCTTTTGTTGTCTATGATACAATGTTGTACATATTTTTATAAGTTGCCTCAAAATCTGTTGGAAATAACAAATTAAGCACAAACAGTGAAATAACTCATTAGCTCTGGTTCTTTTGCTTCCTGGGGTTTCCATATATTTTGCAGTCATTTTTGGGGGGATTTAGGGGATCATGGCTGGTGGGTAAACAGAACTATGTAGATTTATCAAGTATGGAGTTAGTTTTCCTTTACCAGTAGTTATTAAGCGAAAACCTCTGGGCTTGACCCAGGGTACTTACTGGTCTTCAGAGCCCTCAAAGTCCTCTTGGACTTAATGGACATCCTTAAAACCCCTAGGCTGACCAGAGTTTAAAAAAGCTTTGTTGATGAGGCTTCCGTCAGAATAGGTAAAATATTCTAGACTCCCCACTAAAACCTGGGGGCCAGAAGTCATAGTTGCTTGCTCCAGAATTAAGCAGTGTTATGCTTTCCAGTCTCTGATTCCTTATCTGTTTGGGTAGATTGACTGCAAAAATGGTCTCCATTTTTCACCCCTGTCTATATGCATGCAAGATGATTTTGAAGTTCCTTCCATCAACAGTCTATTTGCCCATCCATTAAATCTTGGCCAGCCTGTGACTTGCTTTGGCCACCAGAATGTGATGGGAATGTTAGGGTGCCAGTTCCAAGTGTAGGCTTCAAAAGGTCTTGGCTGCTTCTTCTCTCTTAGAACCCTGCCGCCACCAAGAGAAGAAGCCTGGCTAGCATGCTGGAGGATAAGAAGGACACATGGAGAAGAGCCAAGGCTCTCCTAGACCAATGGACAGTCAGCCAACTCCTAAAAATGTAAGAGAGTCCGGCCAAGATTAGCAATTCACCACAGACTCATATGTGAGCCTGGCCAAGATCAAAGAAGCACCCAGCTGACCTACAGAGCACTGAGCAATAGAAAATGGTTGATGTTTTAAGCCGCTGAATTTGGAGGTAGTTTGTTAAGCTGCATATGCACAATATCTAACTGGTACTTATCAGTTATGAAACTGAGAGTTGGTTAACTTGTTGTCTTAAAATGCTTTTCACTTTTCCCCATGTTGCTGTGTAGAATTTAGTTGTTCCAGGCAATTCCCGACTGCCAATTTCTTTTGGGCCTGGCCTAGGGAAGAATCTACCTAGTGTGTAGGAAGGCGGGGATGGCAAAGATAATAAAATGACTCTCCTGGGGGTTTCTTGGGCATAGCAAACACATTTTCATCTCAGGGCCCTTGCATTTGCTCTGCTCTCTTCCTGAACTCTCTTCTCTCGGGTAGATGCACAGCCTGCTCTCTTACTCATTTAGGGCTCTTTGCTGAAATGTCACCTTCTCAGAGAGACTTTTCTTTTTCTTTTTTTTTGGAGACAGTATTTGGCTCTATTGTCCAGGCTGGCGTGCAGTGGCCTGACGTCGGCTCACTGCAACCTCCACCTCCCAGGCTCAAGCCATCCTCCCACGTCAGCCTCTCAAGTAGCTGGGACTACAGGTGCACACCACCACATCCAGCTAATTTTTGTATTTTTTTGTAGAGAGGGGGTTTTGCCATGTTGGCCAGGCTGGCCTCAAACTCCTGAGCTCTAGTGATCCGCCCTCATCGGCTTCCCAAAGTGCTGGGATTCCTTTCACAGGCATGAGCCACTGTGCCGAGCCATCAGAGAAACCTTTCCGAATGCTTTACTAAAAAATAACACCCTGCATCGCTCTCCCATCCCCTCACTCTGTTTTATTTCTTCTTTATAGCACCTACCACTGTGTTATACTATATTATATATTATCTGTTAATGTGTTGTCTATCTCCAGCATTAGAGTGTGAGCAACCAAAGGTTTACTTCCCTGTGTGGGGGTGGTTATGGTGTAGCATTGGGGAAGGAGCTACAAGCAGGAGATGATTGTATAAGGCTGTGCTGGGGAGGGGCTGACCGTGTAAGCCTTGGTACTCTGGACACAGGCTTGGGCACTGCCTTGTTTGTCTCTGGCTGCAGGAGGAGAGCTGACTCTGCTAAGTCCTGCCTGACAAGCTAGACTTGGTCTTCTGTTAAGTGACCCCAGAATGTAAAGGGTGGGGGGGTCCTGGCACCATGTCTCAGCTTTAACAAAGGGGAAGGAAGCAGCTGGGGTGCAGCAACGCAGCAGCCCTTGAATGGGCATCGGACGGACCTGGCCGGGTTCAGATTCCCACCTTACCGGCTTCCAGCTGTGTGGCTAGGGCTCTTGACTTGGCTTCTCTGAGTGTATTTCTCCCTCTGTAAAGTGTTTGATACTATCTACCCCCTAGCATGGCTGGGAGGCTATAATGGGATAATAGACAGAGACAACCTGGCACAGAGAAGGGAGTCGATAAATGTTTGCTAATAATCTAAGTGAAGGTCTCTGAAACTAAAGATTTAGGAATTCAATAACACAGACAATGCCAGAAGGCTTTCTTTTACTGTTAAATTTATTAGGAAACAAGACAGGAAATTATCAGATTAAGAAATGTTTGTACACTAGCCTGGAAACCCCTTTTAAGAGACTTGGCAGTGGGAAACAGATTCAGGCTTGGTTTGTTGAAACCATTCCTCTGCGAGAGGCATGCCCTACTCCAATTCGGAAAAGCATCTGCATCTGCAGGTCCCGGCCCCAGTGATGAGCTCCTTTGGGAAGTGTCCCCGAAGCTCCCAGGCTGACTTGGGGTCACCCTGCTGTGCTGCACAGTGGGACCCCATTCCTGCTATGAGCTGCTGTTTCTCTTATAGTAAACTAGTGGGTAGGGGGTCTGTCTCCCCAGCCAGCCTGAAGCCTGTGAGGGCAGGAACAAATCCTGTTGTCTTTGTGGTACTCAGTGTTCATGGTTGAATTAATAAATGATTCACAAATATTTTTATGTTCTTTTCAGAAAGTCACCACCTTAATCTCCACATGTACTTCAAGCTTCGTTCTTGAACTCAATTCTGAAAATTCTCCATCTTTGTTTTCTACATCTTATTCTTTTGGTGGTTTGGCTTCAGACTGCCTAAGAACCTTCCCTTTCCATGTAATCCAAACAAGATTTTTAGTTACCTCCTTTGTCATCCCTCCTTCTCTCCCAGGGGTCAGCCTTTCTTGCATTATCATTGCAACTTTCCCACAGAGTCCTGGGTGACATCCGCCTCATAGGGGCTTAAGAGGAAAGAGACTCATTCTCCCTGTTTCCTCATCTCTGTATCAAGGAGCTCCTGGGACCTGGCAGGACTTGTGAACACCTGCTTCAGTCCCCCAACTCCTCCTAAAAGATCTAGGGCTCCATTTCAGAACTTCCAGGCATGGAATGGTTTTTTAGACCTCCAGCTGAGTCTTGGGTAGCTATGAAAATGTCACAGGTTAGTCAGGTTTTGGAGATCAATTAGCCCCCAGGAGCATGGACTGTGGCCTTTGAAAGTTCTCTGAAAAGCCTTTCCCTTGTCCCCTAAACAGTAGTGACACTCATGGGCATAACGCCATGTGGTGTGATAAAACTCAGCCATGGAGTGTAACTGACAGGGAAATTGTGTGCTGGAGTTGTTTGAGTAATGATCTTGGCTGGGCACGGTGGCTCACGCCTGTAATCCCAGCACTTTGGGAGGCCGAGTCAGGCAGATCACAAGGTCAGGAGATCAAGACCATCCTGGCTACTAAACTCTGTCTCTACTAAAAATACAAAAAATTGGCCGGGCATGGTGGCACATGCCTGTAGTCCCAGCTACTCAGGAGGCTGAGGCAGGAGAATTGCTTGAACCCCGGAGGTGGAGGTTGCAATGAGCCGAGATCATGCCACTGCACCACTCCAGCCTGGGTGACAGGGCGAGACTCTGTCTCCAAAAAAAAAAAAAAAAAAAAAAAAAAAAAAGAAATGATCTTTGAGATTTTAATTAACATCATGGCAATGGACCAGGGTAAAATAATGAGGGGGCAGCTTTTTGGACAATGTCTACCTTACTCTATATCAAGGTGACCATACATACTTGCAATCAAAATCCATCCATCCATCCGTCTGTCCATCCAAACTTCCGTCCATATGTCTGATCATCCTTCAATTAACTAAACAATTTTTTTCAGCATCTCCTATGTGCTACTCATTGTGCTAAGCAATGGGAGATACAGGAGAAAACAAAGGAGCTTCCTTCTTGGAGCTTAACTTCCATTCATCTATCTATTCATCTATACATCTACTCTTCCATCCATCCATCCATCCATCCATCCATCCATCCATCCATCCATCTTTCTACCCTTCCATCAATCTACTCAATATAATGTGCCAGATTAGGACTTCAATGAAAATTAAAACATAGATCTTCCCCTTGAGAAACTCTCAATGTAGTGGAATAGGTACAATGTTCATGAGTGTTACAGGTACTCTAAGAGAAGTCCATCCATGCTACACTGATGGCACAAACAGAAATTGGATATTCCACCTGGGTGGCATGTCAGGAAAGCCTTCATTGTTGAGCTGACCTAGGATGATTGAAAGACGAGCTGATGGTCATTAGGTGACCTGGCTAGGGGGTGGGGAAGAGGAGGGCATAGGGAAGTCCAAACTGGAGGGAACAGAAAAAGCCAAGTCACAGAGGCAAGAAAACTCATGGTGCATTGTGGGGATTGTAAGAAGTTGGCCGTGGCTGGCACACTGAGTTGAAGGGAATTCCCATGAGGTGGGCAGGGGCCAGATCATGGAGGGGAGCATCGAGGGGCTCAAGTGCTTTGCTGAGGGGCTCGTATATCACTGGGAGGAGGCAGCTGAATTCCTTAGGAATCAATTCTGGTGCCTGCGTGAAGTCAGGATTCATTGCTGGTGTTCTGGCCAGAATAACCATCAGAGGGAGGGAGTCAATGGGAGGGATGACAGAGGCAGAGAACGGCACTTTCTGCTCGGGCTGCCAGCAAACCCAGACCAGTGCATCGCCCCATATCATTCCTGGCCTCTCAGATCTCCTGGACTCAGAATGCTGCCTGTGGATCTCTTCTGGCTTGGCAGACATCTCAAACTTGACTTCTCCTGCTTCCCTGGACTCTCAACACCCACTTGTTTCTTCCTTATCTCTGCCTGTGCCTCTAGAGCTCAACCAGCCCCTTAGGGGTGGCTGACCAGGACTCTTGGCTGTATCCTCCTTGCCCCTCAGCACTCTCCTGAGGGCTTCCATCCCAGACTGACCCTCTGATTCCCTATCAACATGTTGAGATAATGTGGTGCATCAGAAGTTGGCCTCTTTACACCCTCTCTTCACTGCCATCTTGAACATTCATTTTAAACATGTAAGCTATTTTCAAAATATGAATCACAAAATTATCCATGCCTGTTTTTAAAACTTCAATAATAAGAAAGAGATAAAACAATAAACTGAAAGCAACCTCTTTTCCTCTCCTTGGACCTAATCCCACTCTCCAGAGGTAACCCCTATTATTAGTTTCTTGTGTAAGATTCCAGAACTTTCTATGTATTCTCATGCATCAATTCATTCACTCACTCAACAAATATTTATTAAGTCCAAACAATGTGCAGGTTCTACAGGGGATAAAGGTATGAGAAAAACACCATACAAGCCCTAAACTCATAGAGCTTAAAGTCTAGCTGGGAGGACAAACACACATCAAATAATCCCACAAAGAAATGTACAAACACAACTGTGTAAACTGCCTTGAGAAAAGTACCTGTACATACACCATTCCCTGACCAATGTCAAAGCTGGAAAATGGTATCTAATTTAATTTGATTTCATGTAACTGTAAGAAAGACCTTTTTTTTTTCATGGTTATTAACATCTGTTTTCCTTTGTGAGTGGCTTTTGTATATCATTTGCCTAGTTTTCTATAGAAATATCAAATTCTTCTTACTGGTTTGTGGAAGTTCTTTCTATATTAAGGAAATAATCCCTTTGCCTGACATGTGTCATGCACACATGTTTTCCCAGTTTTTCAACTGCCTTTTGAGTGTGCTTACAGTATTTTTTTAAGTAGAAGTATTTTCATCCAATGCAGGCAAAGTTATTGGTCTTTCTCTTTATGGGTTCTGAGTTTGGGTTTACATTCAGAAAGCCCTCCACCTATTCAAGATTATTAAAAACTTAACCATGTTTTCTTCTGGTAATTTTAGTTACATTTTTACTATTAAAACTTTGGGTTGCAGAATGCATATACACTATTGGTGGGAATGTAAATTAGTTCAATCATTGTGGAAGACAGTATGGCGATTTCTCAAAGACCTAAAAACAGAAATACCATTCAACTCAGCAATCCCATTACTAGGTATACCCAAACGAATAGAAATCACTCTATTATAAAGACACATGCATGCATATGTCCACTGCAGCACTATTCACAATAGCAAAGACATGGAATCAACCTAAATGCCCATCAGTGGTAGACTGGATAAAGAAAATGTAGTACATATATGCACCATGGAATACTATGCAGCCATAAAAAAGAATGAGATCATGTCCTTTGCAGGAACATGGATGGAGCTGGAGGCCATTATCCTTAACTAACACAGAAACAGAAAATTAAATGCTGCATTTTCTCACTTTATAAGTGGGAGCTAAGTGATGAGAACACATGGACACATAGAGGGGAACAAAACACATTGGGACCTATTGGAGAGTGGACGGTGGGAGGAAGGAGAGGCTCAGGAAAAAGAACTAATGAATACTAGGCTTAATACCTGGATGACAAAATAATCTGTACTACAACCCCCACTTAAAAAAAAAAAAACCTTTGATCTGTCTAGCATGAGGTAGGGATCCAGTTTTTGTTTTTGTTTTCCCCAAGTAACTAACCAATCGAGCCAATATTTGCTGAATAATCCACCTTTTCCTCACTGATTTAAAATAATTCCACTTCATCATGTGTGCTCATCTCCAGATGTCGTTGAGAACACAGCAATATCTCCTATTTTATCCCACTGATCTAGTTTTTCTCGGTGTCAGAATCACACTGCTTAATTATTGTAGTTTCATAAATGCTTTAAAATTAGGTAGGGCTGGTCCTGATTCATTACGTCTCCTTTCTGAAAGATATTTCGAGGCTATTTTTTTAGCTACTTATTTCCCAGATTAATTTTAATTCTGATTCATTAAGTACCTGACTGTGGTTCAAATGGTGAAGGTAGTCACATTAGAAAGGGAAGAGGAAGGTGATGGGCAGTTAGGGGTGAATGGAGGTATACATCCATTTAAGAAAACTTTTGGATTCACTATTTGAGTATGCATTATGTTCCCTGAAATAAATGTAGCTGTGCCTCTTCCTGTTACCAGCTCTCCACTTCTGTGTCTCACTGACACTTGTTTAATAAACACAAGTTGAGTTAATGAATGAGTCCTGGGTAGAGTTCATGGTAAAAAATAAAGATTACTAAGTGTTAAAGAAAGGTGTTAATAGCAAGTGAGCACCCCACTGAGGATTTCTCCCTGTTATAGAAATCAAAGGGGGCTGGAAGAAATGGAGAGACTTCACACCAGCTGTCAGAAGCATTTTATGCCAAGGACAAACATTCACATTTGTCCTGTCCCAGGGATGTCTCAAAACCATTTCCAGGTAATAGCAAGGATACCCTCTATAGTGGAGACTGGTGTATCTGGCACGCTTCCAACTGAAAATCCCTTTCCAATGGAACTTCTGCAGAGTACCAGGATCATTTATATTCATAATGAAAGTCCCTAGGGCCTGGAAGATCCTGAGTCACCCAAGAAAGGAAAGATTAAATCATGTTCAACCAAGCCTTCGTGTTAAGTATATTTAATTGTATTCTAAGTCTTCAAAGACTGATTATCTTTAATTAAACAGCCTGGTGACTATAGACTTATTATTTATTTGATATGATATAGTGAGGAACTATTCACTAGAATGTTTAATAAGTTGAAATATCCTGTGGCTGACCACACGCAATGACAGAGAGGGGTGTGTGTGTGTGTGTGTTTACGGGCATGGAGGAGATTAGGCCATGTTTTTGAGAGCTGACTAAATGCTGCTGTTAACGTAGTGTAGATGTTAATGGCACGTAAAAGCATAAATCTACCATTTGCAGCCATGCATGTGCACACTGATATAAAGAACTAATAGGCCTTCCACAATCCATCAAAAATACAAAGATTACTAAATTGTCTTTTAAAAACATTAGAATCCCATTAGGCCAAATTCAGGAGCTGATTACAGAGTAAAATAAACCACAGGAGGACTCTAAATTCTCGTTTGTCATTGCTGTTAAAAGGTACTGCACCTTTTTCCCAAGGCCAGGAGCCCTTGGGGAAGGGAGCACACAGCCCTTGCTGGGGAAGCAGGGCCCTATCCAGCCAAGGAGAAAGATAAGGATGCTTCTGGAGAGAGGCTTTCTCCTAGCACCTGTTCTGGGAGTTGCATCAAAAACTACATGAAAGTAGCCCAGATATAACTCAATGTTTCTCAACTTTTTATTATCACCCCTTCCACCCCAAGAAGCCTTTTTGGACATTTTCTTCCCTCCTCTCCACCGCCACCCCACTGTATTAACCAGTTCTCTTTTTCTCTTTCTTCTTCTTCTTCTTCTTTTTTTTTTTTTTTTTTGAGATAGGGTCTTGCTCTATCACCCAGGCTGGAGGGCAGTGGCGCAATCACAGCTCAGTGCAGCCTCGACCTCCTGGGCTCAAGTGAGCCTCCCACCTCAGCCTCCTGAGTAGCTGGGACTGAAGGCGTGAACCACCACACCTGGCTAATGTTTGATTTTTTGTATAGACGGGGTCTCATCATGTTGTCCAGGCTGTTCTCAAACTCCTGGATTCTCCCACCTCGGCCCCCCAAAATGCTGGGATTACAGGTGTGAGCCACCTCGACTGGCCTTATCCATGCCTTTTATTGTCTGTATTCTGATGCTTTGACACCTGGGGCCTTGCTGACCCTGGAGGGCAGTCCCCAGGGTTGGCCCCACTCAAGGTTAGCCAATTCCTAGGGACAGTAAACAACCTGCCAGCAAGCACACTTTTCAAATGTAAACTGACCCATCCAAAGCCCACACCCCAGCCACCATGTCTATGGGGCTGTCATACTCTGGGCCACTATCCAACTGCTCTAATCTCTCCAGGGCCAGGCACCAGGCAACTAGGGGCAGTCCCTATGCCTCAGAGCCTGCTGAAATTATTCTAATTAGCTAATCCTAAACCTGGATTCTCTGCCTCACCCGTTCCTTCCCTCGGAAACGATAATAAAGGCTCTTGCCCATGGTTTCCTTCTGCCCCCTGACCAACCCTGGTGCTTCCCCATGTGACCCTATAAGGCCTGGCATGTCCCCTCCTCTTGGGAACTGTAAGTAACAAACTCTTTTCAATGGTAATTGTCTCCTGATCCATTGGCCTTACTGTACTTCAAATTTTCTGTCAAGACACTATAATTTAAAATAGCGGTCCCCAGCCTTTTTAGCAACAGGGACCGGTTTTGTGGAAGACAGTTTTTCTACTGACTGGTGGGTCGTGGGGCCAGGGATGGTTTTAGGATGAAACTGTTCCACCTCAAATCATCAGGCATTAGATTCTCATAAGGATCATACAAGCTAGATCCCTCGCGTGCACACTTCCTAGTAGGGTTTGTACCCCTATGAGAATCTAATGCTGCCACTGATCGGACAGGAGGCGGCACTCAGGTGGTAATGCTCGCTCGCCCGCTGCTCACCTTCTCCTGTGTGGCTCAGTTCCTAACAGGCCACAGACCTGTACCAGTCTGTGGGCTGGGGTTTGGGGACCCCGATTTAAAACATTCCACTTCATGACATTTTAATATTATAAATACACTGTATATATGTTTATGTACTGTGGCCGTTTTGAGGGTCACAAATCATTCTAATACCCACATTTTGTGGGGGTCTTAAGAACCATCTTTCACGCTGGTGGTGCTATATTGCCTCAGATCCCATTAAGGATGCATGAGAATAACGTGGGGAGTTTTAAAAAGTACCAATGCTGGCTGGGCACGGTGGCTCACACCTTTAATCTTAGCATGTTGGGAGGCTGAGGTAGGCAGATCACTTTAGGTCAGGAGTTTGAGACCAGCCTGGCCAACATGATGAAACCCCATCTCTACTAAAAAAAATATACAAAAATTAGCCAGGCAAGGCGGCATGCACCTGTAATCCCAGCTGCTCCAGAGTCCGAGGCACAAGAATCGCTTGAACCCAGGAGGCAGAGGTTGCAGTGAGCTGAGATCGTGCCACTGCACTCCAGCCTGGGTGACAGAGCAAGACTCTATCTCAAAAAAAAAAAAAAAGTACCAATGCCCAGTCCCACCCCAGACCAATTAAGTGAAAATTTCTGGGGACATCACCCAGGCAGTGGCATTTTTTCAATGATCTCCATGGTAATTCCAATGTACCTCCAGGTTGAGAACCTCTGAGTTGACTCAAATCACAGTTTCTGCCCCATCGCTTCCCCTCACCAAGCCTGACCCCAACACATCACATTCGCATTACAGACCAGAAAAACCACAAGACAAAACCAAATGATTCAGGGCTCCGTGGTGTTTCCCCACCTATGGACGCTCTATCTCATTTGATCCCAGACATGTGCCTGGACATTTTTTTTTCCAGAACAGGCAAACTCACACTTGAACAGGCTGTCTTTCTTTTTTTTGTTTTTGAGATGGAGTCTCACTCTGTCACCCAGGCTGAGGTGCAGTGACGTGATCTCAGCTCACTACAATCTCTGCCTCCCGGGTTCAAGTGATTCTCCCACTTCAGCCTCCCAAGTAGCTGGGACTACAGGCACATGTCACCACACTGGGCTAATTTTTGTATTTTTTTGTAGAGATGGAGTTTCACTATGTTGGCCAGGCAGGTCTCGAACTCCTGCCTCAAGCAATCCACTCACCTTGGCCTCCCAAAGTGCTGGGATTACAAATGTGAGCCACCGCGCCCAGCCATCCTCCCTTGTTTTCTTGTTTTTTTTTTTTACTGGGAGCATCTCTACCTGTTCTTCAAGGCACAACTTGAATGCCACTTCCTCCAACAAGCTGCCCCAAATGGTTGGGATCCCTACCTCTTCTCCCACAGCAGGTTGTCTTACGGAATGTCCACATCCATCCAGGGTTGCAGCAAGATAATAATAATACTGATGAAAACCAGAGTTAAGACTTTATATGGCATTTACTATGAGCCAAGCACTATTCAATGTTAATGCTTTACATGCATTAACCATTCTAATCCTTACAACATCCCTCTGCAGTTGCTGTTATTATTATTATTGTTGCTGTTATTTGTTATCATTTTACAGATGATGAAACTGAGGCACAGAGAGGTTAGGTTACTTTCCCAAGGTCACAGAGCCGGCAATAGGTAGAGCTAGGACTAGAACCTAGTCTGTTTGGCTTCAGAATTTGCGCTGCAGAGAAAGGCGGGGGCCAAGTCAGGAAAGGTCTCATAAGGCATGTTAAAAAGTCTAGATTTTATTCTAAGATTAATGAAGAGCCACTTAAAGGCTCTAACAGAGGCAAGAGAAATAATCTGGGCACAGAGTGAACAAGGCTGGGCTGCAGTCTTCCGGGTGACAAAAGACTGTAGCCAGGCCGGGTGGGAGCACAGCTTCTCGGAGTGGGGTCTGCTTGTTGCCTGCAGTAGAATCATTCTTGGGTGCTTGTTTTTAAAAAAAGGTGGATTCTCATGTGCAGCCATGAGATGGAAGACCCCTGGTTTACACAGTCGTGGCCTGAGCAGGGCAGGGAGGAAACTCTGGTAGAAGGCAGGGGTTGAGAGTGGGGGGTAACCGGCTCAGAGCCTTTAGTGACTTGTCCAAGGTCACACTGCTGATACACGTGTCAGCTAGGGCTTGAACAGACTTTGTAACCCAAGTGAGGCGCTGCACTAATCATGACCAGCAGTCAAACTAATGGAGAGACTGCTCAGGAGAGAATCAAAGGGCAGCAGCCTATCTTGGTTGCCTGGAAGCACCCTCGAGACTAGATGGTTGAAAACAGATGAGGGCAACCTGGGGGTGGGCATGGGGAAGCACAATCCAGACAACGAAGAGGTCATGGGGGGCCAGGGAGAGGGCAGCAGGGTGCTTGCCACCCCAGTCCTGGGGAGCGGGCGCAGGCTCTTCCCTCACCAGTGGTCACTCTTAGCAGAGGAGCCAGGCCTCAGCGCAGCAGGATCCACAACAAATAAATAGAGCTTGTCCTACCAGGGTGATATGGTTTGGCTCCGTGTCCCCAACAAATCTCATCTCAAATTGTAATCGCCGCATGTCAGGGGAGGGACCTGGTGGGAGGTGATTTCCTCCATGGCTGTTTCTCCCATGCTGTTCTCATGAGAGTGGGATAGCTCTCATGAAATCTGATGGTTTAAAAGTGTTTGGCAGCCAGGCCCAGTGGCTCATGTCTGTAATCCCAGCACTTTGGGAGGACAAGGCAGGTAGATCACTTGAGGACAGGAGTTCAAGACCAGTCTGGCCAACATAGGGAAACCCTGTCTCTACTAAAAATATAAAAATTAGCTGGGAATGGTGGTGCGTGCCCGTAGTCCCAGCTACTTGGGTGGCTGAGGCAGGAGAATCGCTTGAACCTGGGAGGTAGAGGTTGTAGTGAGCCAAGATCATGCCACTGCACTCCAGCCTGGGTGACAGAGTGAGATTCTATCTTAAAAAAAAAAAAAGAAAAGAAAAAGTGTCTGGCAGTCCCCCTGCCCCCTCTTGCCGCCATATGAAGAAGGCCTTCACCTTCCAGCATGATTGTAAGTTTCCTGAGGCCTCCCCAGCCATGCAAAACTGTGAGTCAATTAAACAATGTTCTTCATAAATTACTCAGTCTTAGGTAGTTCTTTATAGCAGTGTGAAAACAGACGAATACACAGGGCAAATTCGTGAGTTAATTTATTAGAGAGCCTTTGTTCAGGGAGCTCCAGTTGCTGGTTAGGTGAGAATTTTTACAATCTGAAGTTTGCACACAGGCACACACCACACGCACACACACACACACACACAGCTTCCCTCTTTGTGTGTCTCTCTGTGTGTGTAATCAAATGCCTTCTAGTACGCAGCACTGTGCTACCGAGAAAAATGACACACTTTTTGCCCAGGGTCATTTCTTCACAGATGTAATTACCCATTTTGAAAGTTTGTACTGTGTTATTTAGAACCAGTAAGTCATGAAATCACAGGACTTGAATGCTGGGAAGCCTTGGACAATGCTAAATCCAGCTCCCCCGAGTCAGCCACTAACATTTCCTGAGTGCCTACTGTGTGCCAAGACCTGGGCATGAGAGGGCAATGGTCCCTCCTTCCAAGAGTTTACAGCTAAACTTTTATCATAGAGTTGAGAAAAAGACCCAGAAAGGCTAAGTCACTCTCCTAAGGTCACACTGACTTGGTTTAACTCAATTTCTGGATAATGGCTACTTCCAGCCACTTTCAGAAATGATTTACCAATTTTGAAAGAATCAGAATATAGTACTATGTTCCTAACATGGCATGGTCAGCATTATAATGGTCCCCAAAGATGTCCATGTCCTAGTCCCCAGAACCTTTGAATATGCTATGTTACATGGCAAGAGAGAGTCAAGGTAGTGGGTGGAATTAAGACTGCTAATCATCTGACATTGGGATACAGAGAGTATCCTGGGTTTTCTAGGTGGGCCCAATGTTATCACAAGGGTCCTTTAAACCTGGAAGAGGGAGGTGGGGGATTCAGTGTCAGAGTGATGCCATGAGAACAAGACCTAATTGACCGTTGTGGGCTTTAAAGACGATGGGTCCATGAGCCAAGGAATGTGGGTGGCCTCTAGAAGCTGGAAAAGGCATGGAAATGGATTCTAATTTTAGCTCCATGAGACCCATTTTGGACTTCTGACCTACATCATTGTAAGAGAATAAATTTCTGTTGTCTTAGGACGCTAAGTTTGCAGTAGTGAGTTCTAGCAGTAGCCACAGAAAATGAATATCCTCTGAAATGAGACTGAGCTTCACGAGGCTCCTCAGGGTGCTGGGGGGCCTGATGGTGTCATTCTGAAATGAGCATCGCTTATCTTCCTAGAAGTCCAGACATCTAATTTCACTTTAAAACTCAGGATCTGTTTTCAGTCAAGACACCTTCCTCGGCCTTTGCCTTTTCTCCCCTCTGGGTAAATTCCAGAATTTAATGCAGAAATAAAGAGATGACCAAAGAATGCCATTTCTCCTAACTTTCTTCCTTGTAACTCCTCTCTGCATCTGAATCACTTTTTCTGGCATTTTATTTTCAGAAATGCTGTTGGCGTTCCTTCCTCTCAGCCCATTGAAGACATCACTTTGTGGGCCAGTGCTGCCCTCCACCCCAGGGTGCCTCACCACCTTCCATTTCTGTTTTTGTTCTGAGCCTGTCTTCTGCTTCCAGGATGTGCCTCAGACTCAATGCCCTCCTGACATGGGAAAAAAGGAGAGGGGCTTACACAGCAAGGTCAGGCTCCACGTCCTGACATGTGGAGGAGGGAAAAATCACTCCTTCCCAGTGAGGTCAGAGAGTTGAGGTGGGAATGAGTCAATGAGTCACTTCCAGGAGAAGGAAGGATGTGCCCACCATCTCAGGAGAAGAAGATGGGCAGAAAATGGCTTCTCTGGGGATTTAGAGAATAAGAACATCGATTTTCTGACACTGAAAAGCTGTCCCTCCCAGGACAGAGAATGATTGCGAGAAATGCCTCATCATCCATCATCCAACAGAATATTACTGAAAACCTTCTTAGTGTCAGGTTCTGTGCAGGTGATATAGATGATGATGATAATGGTGGTGGTGATGATGATGATGATGGTGGTGACGATGATGCTGTTGGTTGTGGGATGATGGTGGTGGGATGGTGTGGTGATGATGATGGTGGTGGGGGTGTCAGTGATGATGATGGTGGTAATAATTGTGATGATGGTGATGGTGGTGATGATGATAATGTTGATAATGGTGATGGTGGTGATGATGATGATGGTAGAGATGATGATGGTGGCGATGGTGATGATAACAGTGGTGTTGAGGATAGAGGTGGGGATGGTGATGGTGGTGATGGTGATGGTGGTGATAGTGATGGTGGTGGTGTTGAGGATAAAGTTGGGGATGGTGGTGGTGATGATAGTGATGGTGGTGGTGGTGAGCGTAGAGGTGGGGATGGTGATGGTGGTGATAGTGATGGTGGTGGTATTGAGGATAAAGTTGGGGATGGTGATGGTGGCGGTTGTGATGATGATGGTGGAGGTAACGATGATGGTAGGAGCTGACACCCACTATGTGCCAGGCACTGTTCAAAGTACTTGCCATATACTCACACAATGTATATCTCCAGGTGGTGGGCATGAAAAATGTGCTGAATTAATGAATAGAGATGACTTGATTCCTACTACCTTAAGTTCACACCTAGGGCTAGAGGGTAAGTGGAACAGAATGAAAGAAAGATGGGAGAGGGGAAATTGAAATAGAAACAATAATCACGGTACAATAAGACAGAGCAGTGGTTAGGTAGATGGGCTCTACAGCCAGGCTGCCCCAGTTTAAATACAAGCTTTGTTACTTATTGACTCTCTGGCTAAATTAATGAACCTCTCCGTGCCTCAGTTTCCTCTTCCGTAAAGTGGGGATGATAACAGCATCTACCTCATGGGTTGGGGTGAGGATTGTATGAGTTGGTATGTCTCCATATCTGAACAGTGCCTGACACGCAGTAGATGCTCAGTAACCCATGCTTCTTCGTCTTCTTCTAAGGTGCTTAGCAGAATTCATCTAAGCCACTCAGAGGCAGACTTGGTCACTTCAGGCTCCTGGCTTGGCTTAACCCCAGACAAGCTCTCAATGTTTTATCGGTCATCTTTGCTGCCTCCATTTATGCTACCATCCCGGACACCAAAATCCCTGATTCTAACCAAAACTGACTTTTCATTTTGCATCTTTATATCCCCTGCCCTCTCCCATGGAAAGAATTCCAAGGGAGATTTAATCAAACAGGTGACATGAAAGCCGAGACTTCAGGAATGTGTAATTTTTAAAGGGGGGATTAATAATGAAGGAAGAAGGAGCTGGTCTGGTTTGAGGGAGAAAGTGGGGCAGAGGGATGCACACCTGGTGGGAGTGCTGGGAGACAGGGTGTACCTGGAGATAAGGCAGGAGTTAGAGGTGAGATGCAGGCAGCGCTAGAATAGGAAAAACCTTGACCGCTGCATTCATGAATGGGGAGCCATTAAAGTCTTGAAAGCTTTCTAAACCCAACATTGTTATGCACACGCTGGAGGGCAGTGCTTATCCTAGCAGTGGTATTAGTACGGCACAAATGATAGCGATAGTAATAATGGCACTAACAGTCATGGGGCAATAATAGTAGTAACAGCAACAGTGGCAGAATTGAGGGGACTGAGACATCATCATCACCATCTTCATCATTCTACAGTTAACTTTCATTTAGTACTTACTATGTGCCATTCTAAATACTTTAATATCTTATGTCATGTAATCCTCGCAATAACCCTATGACCCTATGGGGTAGTTACTCTTATCATACCCATTTTACAGACAAGAAAACAGAGGCAGGGAAGAGTTATGTGACCTGGGCAAAGCTGCACTGAGACCCAGGGCTTGGGTGCTTATGTTAGGCACAATGAGAAGCTGCCAGGAACGAGGTGGACCTCACCATACCCCAAGAGGCAATACCAGCTGTAGATACAGAAGGGCTTCCCTGAAGTTCAGGGGGTATTCATGGAGGGCAGGCCCTGAGAGGTGTTTGTGGGGTTTGGCTGTGACTTGGAGGTGGGCATGGAAGGAGGCAGCCAGTCCTAGCCTCTCTGATGCCCTTCTGGCCCCCGTTAGGGATGGAGTCCCAGGATGGCTATACTGGTTCTAATCATACCCAATCCAGGGACTATGAACAGCACACAGTGGCAGCTAGGAGCCCCCTCTGCAGGCCTCCCTCCAGCTGGGACTGGCCTGCCGGGCCATCCCCGCTGGGGCTTGGGGGACAATCTGGCCCAAGCCCCACTGCTGCCTGCCTCAAGTCTGTTCTGCCTGCAGAGCACACGAACGCGGGAACACCAGAGCGTGGCTGAGCCCGTGCAGGTAGGCCTGGCTTCCCCCAACAGGCTGGACACTGGCTAAGTGGCCTGGCAGGAGACGATGCTAAGGCCAAATGTAACGACTCCAGCTGCAAGTCATGTCTTTTTTCCACTCCCCATTCCCCACTACCAAGGGAGAGGGCATGGCGTTCCTGAGGATACTGTTGGGGTGGATGAGCCTCAGTCTATAAGCACCGGAGAGGACTCCTTGGGCGCTGGGCGTCCTGGCCACCCCCTACCTTCCCCTGGTTGCTGAGAAGCAACAGCCACTTCTCCCTATACCTGCATTTCCCTGGCTCTCTTAGTGACAGCTCACCTGCATCCCCCACAGTCCCGTGGTAGGAGACAGAGTTTAAAAGGCCTGTTTTGCAGGCTCCAGGGGGACTGCAATGCCATCTTGCCGTGCTTTGATTAAGAATGATCCTCGGGGCCCTGTGGTAAGAGGATGAACTCCCCTAACTGTGGAAACAGGGGAGGGAGAACAGGCGGCTGCAGCGCAGAGCCCTCAGTAGGAAGGGGAGGTGCCACCTGGGGAAGCTGCTGAAGCCCAAGGGAGGTGGCGAGGGCTGTGGAAGGCCTGTTGGGAATAATCTGGTATTCCAGAGCAGTGGAGGAGATGCCCAGGCTCCGAAAGCTCCCTGAAGAAGAATATTAAAGAGAGCCAGAGGCAGGGTTGCTTAGGCTCTTACAGAAACTCCCGTGACCTTTTGGCTCCTGGCACCTGTGAGGCTAAGTCTTATCTCTGGGCCATTTGGCTCCCTGGCCATACCCGGTCTAGGCTGGGAGAGGCCTTCTACCCTGGGCCATGTGCAAAACAGCCCTGGCCTTTGGTCAGCTCATGAAGGGAGTCCCTTTGATTCCTGACCAGCTCCTACCTCCTTATTCCTGCCTTCCCAGATCCCTGACCAGCAGACTCAGCCCAGGATCATCTGGGAAGGTCCCGGCTCTTCTGTCAGAGCCCCTTTTACCGTGGGTGGGGTGAGGGACTCAGCAGGCTCATTTCATAGGCCCAGATCCTAGCTTGCCAACTGCTGACCTGGGAGCCCCACAGTGCTTCTCAGATCTCCTTGACTTCCAACCAAGACTCAGGATCCAATGCTCATATGAATTCTTCACTCTCCATGAGCCTGGAAAGCTGAGCAAAGCTGGGCTCTTACCCACGTTCTTTTCTCACTTGCCGTCTCTGAGCTCAATTCCTATTTTTGTAAAGTGAGTATCCTAATACCTCCCTGTGTAGTGCTGTTAGGTCTAAGAAGGTAATATACTGCATTAGCTTCCAAGCACTGTCATAACAAAGTTCTACACTTACTGGCTTAAACAACAGACATTTCTTGTCTCCTAGTTCTGGAAGCTAGACACCACACTCAAGGTGTTGCAGAGTTGGCTCCTCCTAGGGACTGTGAGAAGGAATCTGCTCCAGGCTTCTCTGCCAGCTCCTAGGGTTTTGCTGGCAATGCTTCGCATTTCCTGGTTGTATTGTAGAAGCATCCTCCTCATCTCCGCCTTCATGTTCATGGTGTTCTTAAGTGTGTGTCAGTGTCCAAATTTCACCTTTTTCATGAGGACATCAGTTGGATTAGGAGCCCACACTATCCAGGATGACCTCATCTTCACTAGTTCCATCCACTATGAACCTAGCTCCAAACAAGGTCACTTTCTCAGGTACTGGGGGTTAGGACCTCACCATATGAATTTTGGCAGGTACACAATTCAAACAATAGCACCTACATAAAGATACCAAGCACAAAATGGGTCCTCAAGAAATGCCAGGCCCTTTTCTTTCCCGTGAAAGAGGGGCCGGCCTCTGAGGCTGAGAGAAGGTTCTAACACATGGGGCTGCTTTTTGGATAGATGCAAGCTCCGTTTGCTGGGAAAACGTTGCCTGCAAGTGCTGTCAGAGGGTCTGTCTTCATGCCTGGGCCTGATTTGCACAGAAGGTATGCCCTGCCCCAGAGAGCACCTCCACATTGCACATCAAGGCTGTCCTCTGCTCTCCTCTGGCCCATGACAGTGAAGGGACAGGGACAGAGCTTGCTTGGCAGAAAGAGACTTACCTACTCTTGGTTTTTCTTGCCCATGCTTCCCTGCAAGGACCCTGAGTGGGGAGGCCCCCCAGTGCTCCCTCGGTCCCCAGGTGATGCCTTTGGGCTTTCACTTACTCTTCTCCCCTCTATTTTCTATCAAGGAAGAGACTTTTTTTTTTTTTCTTTTCTCTGTGGCTTGGCCCTGGGGAAGCTTCGTTCTGCTCTTTTGCCCCGGAGGTTAATGTGCTTCCTGTTTTCCTAGTGTCATTCTGGTCCTAACAGCAGCACCAATACCTACTAAACACTGAGGCTGGTGGCACTGCTAGTACAAAGTTCTTCCCTGCCCTCAGCTCACCCAGCACCAGAAGCTGCAGGGCAAGGCAGTTTATCTCTGGGAAGGCAAGTGGCTGCTCAAGGGCACAAAGCTCATAAACAGGCAGACAAGTGGCACTAGGTTTTTCCCTGTGGCTGTCCCCTAAACATGCTGGCTTTCACTGAGACACTGTTTTTTTGTTTTTTCTGGTTGGGTTAAATGTGGTTGATTTGGCCTCCTCTGGAAGGACAGGGCAGACCTCCCACAGCGGCCGTTAACTCATTCTGCAGGGGAGACAGAAGTGTCTATGAAGGAGGCTACAGAGATGACAAGGAGGTGAAGGGGACACAGAAGCAGAAGTGGGAGGGACTGGGGGTGTGGCCAAAGTGACTATAGGATTGTGGGAAAAGTGCCCTTGCCACTGGCATTATGAGAAGCCTGTGAGTATGGCAGGAAAGGTGCTAGCTTTGGAGCCCAGAAATGCCAAGTGCACATCCTGCTATCTTCTCTGCCTTCCCGAGGGGTCTTGGGCAAGAACGCAGGTCTCTCTGATCTACCTGCGAGATGGAGAGAGGAACAGTGCCTAGCACAGAGGGGTGTGGCAAGCGCCTGGGGAGCAGCATCACCCCCAATTTTTCAGATGTGAAAATGGTCAAGACATTATCATTATTAGGGGGTTCCAGTCAGTGGAGGTGAACACGAAGCCTGACAGGCCCGGGACCGGGTGGGCGGGAATTCCTTCCACTCTCAGATATCTAAGTTCTCATCCAAGGTCACTGGGCTTCAGAAACACCATTCTATAAAGTCTCCTCAGAGGAAGCGAATCAGCGTGAGGCTGCAGTTTCTTCATCTCCCTCTCCCACGACTTCACCCTGCATTCTTCAGCCAATCAACACGATCTCCACACTTTAGCTCACTCCAAAACCCTTAAAAGCCCTAGCCATCTCCTGGGGAGATGGACTAGAGGTTTCCTCTCCTCTCCTTGCTCAGCAGCCCTCTGACTAAACCTCTTTCTCTACAGAAAAAAAGTCCCAGACAATCACTCCCTTTTATAATCTTCTCCTCAAACTTCCTGGATCCCAACAGGCTGACGCCTGGGTTCAACCGGGTTTTTTTTTTTTTTTTTTTTGAGACAGAGTCTCACTCTGTTGCCCAGGCTGGAGTGCGGTGACGTGATCTCCGCTCACTGCAACCTCTGCCTACCAAGTTCAATCAAATTTTGTGCCTCAACCTCCTGGGTAGCTGCGACTACAGGCGCATGCCACCACGTCTAGTTAATTTTTGTGTTTTTAGTAGAGACAGGGTTTCATCATGTTGGCCAGGCTGGTCTCAAACTCCTGGCCTCCAGTGATCTGCCTATCTCGGACCCCCAAAGTGCTGGGATTACAGGCATGAGCCATCCAGTTCTTGAATGAAAATGGCTCATGGTTGTTAACCCGTCCTTCCTTCACACTGGACTGCTTTCTGCCAGGGCTAGCACTGAATTTCCTTCCTTTGCAGCCCCAGTTTTTAGCACAAGGCCTGGTATGAAGGGAAGGGCTGGCTATGTCTGTTGAATAAATAAATGAATGACTTCCCAGTGAAAGAATGAATGCGTTTAAAAGGAAATGACACACTTCTGGTACCATGTTCCCTCTTATCTACTGATGGTGTGAGCAGGCCTGGGGAACAGGGTGTGAAGGCTGGGCATGTGGGGACTGCTATCACAGCAACAGGACAACTGAGGTGCCAAGGCTCAGGGCGAAGGAGCCATTCACTTGGCTGATGGAAGAACAGATGAACAGATGAATGAATGGATCTTGGAGAGCTGGTCTCTGTATCCTTGGTCTTGGAGACAGGCTGATTCCTCAGCCACAGAGGCCCACCTACTCAGATGTATAGTCATTATTATGCACACCATGACTCCTGGGAAGGTGTGGCCCCCATATGGCTTTGGAGTCTGGCAGATCTGAGTTCTAATCCCAGCTCTGCCCCTCATAAGCCCTTTGGTCCTAGCTAACAATTCAACCTCTCTGAGCCTCTTTTCTCATCTACGGAAGGGGCTCTCAATGGCTCAGGATGGTTGTGAAGACTGAATTAAGTGAGACAATCATTTAAAAGCTCTGAGCCAGGCCTGGAAGCACTGCATATGGCTAACACATCCAGCACCCTTTCTCATCTGATCCTCTGTTATAGATGGAGAAGCAAATTGCTCTGCCCCACTATGACTTGGTTACTCCTTCTGTGAAGCAAGACCAACACTACCTGCCTGGCCTCTGTCACAGGACTGCAGTAATGAGATGAAGAAAATAAAAATGCATTATACATTTAAATGCACCAGGAGACAGGGTTGTTTTTATTTTGCAGTTAACTCCTATGAACATTTGTTCCAGTCGGATTCCTAGGGGCATGAGAGAGAGCTTCCTGGGTTGGCTCTCACCTGGTAAATATCCACATCCCTCTCTCCCCACCACTATCATTTCTGATCCTACAGCCTAAGAAGTCCAGAGGCAGTACTATGCCACCATCTGTTTCAACTCCCCCAGTCCAGGTGGAATAATATTCTTATTAAAGTGCATAGAAGATGCCCTCTCCAATCCATTGCAGGGGATATTTCCAGTCACAATGATGGCAGTTGAGCTGTTGACCAGGACCAGATTGTCACCATCTGCTCCTTGCCCATGATATGTGCCCTGCTGACCGTAGGGACCAGGACTATGTGCAAGTGCAAACCCACAGTCTCCTCAAGCAGCCCCGCCTTCAGGAACCTGGGCGGTGGAGTGGAACTAAACAACAGCCAGTGCACATTCATTTGAATTGGGGGTTGCTCTCTCAGTCATGTCAAGGCACCTGGAGAAAGATATAATTAGTCTGTGGACAGAGATCCACCTATGAGTGGAGCTCACTTTTGTAATGGGCCTATTATTCCCTAATTGTTGCATAAAAATGTATTTTTTTTTCTAACTATATTTTAAATCCCTCAGGGCACCTCCCTATGTAAAGGAGTCTTGTAACACATCTTTATGTTTTTGTTTGTTTGTTTGTTTGTTTGGCCATGCATGGTGGCTCATGCCTGTAATCCCAACCACTTTGGGAGGCTGAGGGTCGCTTGAGCCCAGGAGTTCAAGGCTGCAGTGAGCCATAATGGTAACACTGCACTTCAGCCTGACTGACAGAGCAAGACCCTGTCTCTAAAAAAAACAAAAAAAGACAATGTTTAAAGTTTCATTTAGTAGAAGTGTCACATTTTATCAAACTATTCCATTCGTTGGGGACATTTAGGTTGCTTCCACTTTGGGACTATCATAAAAACACCTGAGGTCCATGGATATCAACACACACATGGCTTCTGTGAATTCTGTACTATTCTGATAGCTAGATCCCTGAAAATTGAAGCATGGGATCAGAGTAAGAATCGTTTTGTTTGTTTGTTTGTTTGTTTGTTTGTTTTTGTGAGATGGAGTTTTGCTCGTCACCCAGGCTGGAGAGCAATGGTGCAAACTTGGCTCACTGCAACCTCTGCCTCCCAGGTTCGAGTGATTCTCCTGCCTCAGCCTCCCAAGTATCTGGGATTACAGGCATGCACCACCACGCCCGGCTGGTTTTGTATTTTTAGTAGAGATGGGGTTTCACGATGTTGGTCAGGCTGGTTTCAAACTCCTGAGCTCAAGTGATCCGCCTGCCTTGGCCTCCCAAAGTCCTGGGATTACAGGTGTGAGCCACCGTGCCCAGCCAAGATTTGTTTTTTAAATGGCCTTTGACATATATTGCTATATTCGTTTTCTAAAGGTTGTGTCCACAATAACATACTTAAGTGCCAATCTTACCACACCTTCATCAGCACTATTATCAGTACGAATGTTTTTATTTTACAGGACTGCCAGAATCTTAAGCCAAATAACATGTGAAGAAAAGTATTAATATTAACAAGAGAGCTTGAGATGCCTTTGTACTCCTTTTTGGTCATCTTTGTGACTTCTTCCTTTCTTTCTCATAATTAAATTTCAATCAATTGCCAGTGCTGATGGTTGCTTCTTTCGTAAGTTCTCTTTTATGTTTCTTCAATTCCTGTAAATTCATCCTGACTCAGGCCTTCAACATCTACACACACTGTTCTAAATAGCATTCCAACGGTCTTTTTGAGCTTTTCTCTCCTCTTGGTTATCCTGCCCAATTCCTCTCTTCAGAACAAAGTTTTAGATGGTGGTGATGGTTGCACAATGATATGAATGTACCAAATGCCACTAAACTATACTTAAAAATTGTTAAAATGGTAAATTTTATAATATATAATATTTTATATATATATACATATAATTGCAATTTTTAAAAAGTTTTGATTGCTTCCTTGCTCAGAAATCTTCAATGGCTCCCTGTGCCTATCAGACAAAAGTTCAAAGTGTTTAGTGATGGCTTATGAGGTTCTATGCAATGTAACACAACGATAGTAATCATAGTTTATAATGAGCCAAGTATTGGGTTAAACACTTTACAAGCATTTCTTGGTCACTCCTTACACCTTTCCAATGAGGTAGATATTATTATTCTGCCATTCAGATAAAGAAATCTGGGCACACTTTTTTTTCTTTTGAAAGCAACTTTACTGAGATATAATTCATATAAAATAAAACATCCATTTAAAGTATACTGCTTGAAGAGTTTTGACAAATGAACAACTTTTATAACTATGACCCCAACTGAGTCACAGAACATTTCCACCACCCACCAGGCACGAAGAGATTTAGGTTGCCAGCTAATGGTATACAGCTAGCAAAGTGGATGGTTGAAAACTGAGCCCAGGTCTGACTCTGATACCCAGACTCTTGACTGCTCGGTACCCACTGAATCTGCTACCCAGTTTCTAGCTGTACCATCACAGCCATCCCTCCTTGAAGGTACTCTTGTACCTGAACCACAACTTCCACCCTCCCACCTGTGCACCTTTGTAAACACCGTTTCCCACACTGAGAGCCCACCCCTCCCCCATAGCTTTCATCTTATTTCCCCCAAAAGTCTTTCTGCCCTGACCCAGCCAACCTGAAAGCGGGCCCCCTTTCCTCTGAACACTGTCATGTCACCCTTGTTGCCAATGTCACCCCTTGGATGCTGCTCAAATACTCAGTTGATGGTGATCAAATGTCATTTGTATTTTGCTAACTTTTTTTCCAGTGTCCTTCCTTTCTAACGCATCAGTTGACTCCCAACGGTCTTTCTGGCAATGATTCTTTATGGTCCTTGTTTGTGTGTGCAAAAATATAGTTGGGGTCTTTGTCGATAAATAGGTTTCCTTGAAGATCAACCCTACTGGAGTAGAAGGAGGTAAAATTCCATTGGCTGATATATTTCCTGGTGCTGGCAGAATTTGTGCTGATTTACTCCTCCTTAAGTGGAATCATGGAAGCTTTTGAAAAGGCAGCCAAGTCACATTAAACACCAGTGAGTGTAGCAGGTAATGTCCTTTCCTTCCCCAAGGAACACCTCCTAGCCAAGGTAAATAGACTCTGGCACTGAGGTTTGGCTGACCTTTTCCTAGTGAGAGCCCAGCAGACAGAGACCTTGTGTCTCAGCAGCCAATACAGTGTAGAAAGGAACTAGACCTCCAACCCCGTAAGCTTAGAAAGAAGAAAGGGCACAGGTGAGCCAAAAATGGAGGGCTTCCTATTTTCAGAAAACTTCCTCCCTTCTTGACCCACTTGCTGAGCCCAACTTCTTTGAGGCAGGAACAGGGCTAGGCACTGAGGACCCAATGATGAACAGACGACTTCTCTGGTCTCTAAAAGCTCATGGTCAAGAAGGTGACCCCTTCTCTGTGTGTCTGAGCATCTCTATGCATTGGGCACTAGGGTGTGGGGAGAGGAAGGGTACCTCTGTTCTCAAGGAAAAACTGGGGACAGACATGGATTCTCTTAGAACACAATAGAATACATGCTGTGTAGTCTGTTTCCCATCTGTATAATGGGGATAATGACAGGGCCTATGGCAGCCAAATGGTGAATGGACTGCCAGACTACCTGGGTTCAAACCCCAGCTCACTTATTTACCAGCTGTGTGACTGTAAGAAAGTTATGTAATCTCTCTCTGCCTTGATCTCCTCATTTGTAAAATGATAATGATAAAAATACCTACCACTTAGGGTTGCTGTGATGGTTAAATTATTAATCTCTGTGACATGCTTAAAACAGTGTCTAGAATACTGTATTCTATGAACATCAGTGATTTTTTTTTTTTTTTTTTTTTGGCTATTAAGAGCCCCTTGGAGGTCCCGAGGAGGATGTGGTTAGCTTTGCCTTGGGCTTGGGTAGCTACTAGAAGGTCTCTCAGGAGAAAGAATACTCTAGTGTACAGCCATACCACCCTGAACATGCCCAATATTGTCTGATTTTGGAAGCTAAGCAGGGCTGGGCCTGATTAATACTTGGAAGGGAGAAAGAATACTCTAGTTAGGCCTTGTAGCTGCCTAGGAGTTTGCTAGACAGAATCGTGTGTCTGTGGTATTTGTGAAAAACAGCCAACTTTTTCTATAAAGGGCCAGATAATAAATATTTTCAGTTTTGTGGGCCATATACTCTTTGTAGCAACTACTCAATTCTGCTGGTGAATAGGTGTGGCTGTGTTCCAATAAAACTTTATTTACAGAAAAGGCACTCAGGCTAATGTTTGCCAACCTGTGAGTTAGAAGGTTAAGGGAACACAAATATAGGTTTATCACAGAACTAGGTCTGAACATGTCCCTCAAGATTAATGGGGCTCAAAGAAACTAATCTAGTCCCAAGACAGTAAGAACTCCCCTGCCCCTGCAGAAGGGCATTGGTTTATTCATGAGGGATCTGCCCCCATGACCCAAACACCTCCCACTAGTCCTCAGCTCCCAACACTGTCACACTGGGGACCAAATTTCACCATGAGTTTTCACCATCCAAACCACAGCACCAAATAATAAGGTCAAGCACATTATTGGGAATCCAAGAATCTTGTTTATCTTTATCTGTACAGCTCTCCTAACCAGTTTGTTTTGCTTGCACTAGACTCAGATATCTCTGCTCTCTACAGTTAATGTATTTCGTTAGCAGGAACTTGGAATCAGAAAAATCTTTGCCACTTCAGCATGACTGGGAGAAACATTTAAGAGAGTAAAATAGATATATGAAGTCATTTCTTTAGATGACCCTAAGACATTATTTTCTTTCACTAAAATAATTTCAACTACAGTTTGTTGCAATCTTAGAACATTGCTTTCAAAAGAGAAAGTTATGTTGTGTGTCAAGAGAACATAAAAAAGAAGAAATCAAAAAACAATGATCCCATTTATTGCCCTACAGGTATTATCTTTTTTGGTCTGGTAGAGTGGTTGATTTATTTACAAGGTTGGGGTTATTCATTTCAGAAGGTCAAGCCTTCTGCTATTTTCATTGCTTGAGCCTTCACTGTGTAAACACATACAGAGAGACACACACAAACAGACCCAGAGTCACAAAAAAAGCTTCCATCTCAAGAAGCAAAGGGCCAAGAGTCAGAAGAAGAAGGAATTAAAGTAAGAATATCTGCATGAGGTAGTACCCATGTGATTGTCACTTACAACCCAAACTGCCTAGGACACAGCAGGAACAAGGGAAGGATAGGGGTCCTGAGGTGCAGGCAGGGGTTCTCTTTTCTTAGCTCAGGAGGACAATGACAACTTTCACTGGTTAACAATTTTCCATTAGTTTTTTTAATCTCCTGAAAAACTGAGGAATCAACAAGACGGAGAGGAAAGAAGCAATGAATTTGGAATCATAGGGGTTGAGGTTTGAATTCTGTTTTGCCACATATGCATCCTGTGAGCTTTGGCCCATTATTTACCCCTAAAATGCTCAGTTTCTTCATCTCTAAAATGGGTAGATAATGTAATCTATCAGCTTATGGTTCTTACATGCATGGAAAGATAGAACATATGTGGAGGTCTCTTTCCTTCCATAGTCTCTCCATCTCAGTGGACATCTACTGGACATCATCACTTACTGTCCAATGGGCATTGCAGACATAGCACATCCCACACTGACCTGCTGATCTCTGCCCTGTCCCCAAACCTGTTCCTTTAACACCTTCTTCCTTCCAGGGCTCAGGCCAAAAACCCTGAAGTCAGCCTTTACATCCCACATCTAATCCATCAGCAAATCCTGTTGCCTCTTTCTCCAGAATAAGCGCAGAGCCCAACTGCTTCTCAATACCCACAGAAGTAGCACCTGGTCCTGACAACTTCATCTGCTACCTTCATTGCTGACTGAGATTATTGACACAGTCTTGAGCGGTTTCCCTGCTCTGGTCCTTGCCCCACCCTCACCAGGGTCTATTCTCAATGCAACAACCAGAGTGATTCTATTAAAAAAAAAAAAAAAGTCAGATCAGATCCCTCCTCTGCTCAAAACACTCCAATGCCCCATCCCACTAGGAATAAAGTACAAAGTCCTTACAATGCCTGCAAGGGACCCATTCACCCCTGGGACTCACTTTCTCTTTTCCTCCTGGCTTACTCTGCCTGACGCATCCTAGTCACTTTATTATTCTTTGAACTTGTTCTTTGAACTCCTACTTTAACTTGCCCTGGGGCAGTTACACCTACTCATCCCTCTGCCTGGAGCCATCTCTCCAGACACCACAGGCTCACTCACTCACCTCCTTCAGCGTGTACAAATGCCACCTTTTCAGAGGCTTTGGGACACCCGTTTGAAGCTGCAGCTTTGGCCCCTGGTTCTCCCAATAACCAGAACTGCTTTGCTTTTCTCCACCTAGCTTTTCCCAGCTGGTAGACTATCTATTTCACTTAATATATGTTCATGGTCAGCTCTACAAAGACAGGGATGTTTGTCGTTGTGTTTCCTTCTCCATCCCTAGCACCTAGGATGGCACTCAATGGACAGCCACCAAAGGACTTACAGACACTTCTTTATGAGGCACAGGCACATCTGATTCGTGGATTGGAATGGATTAAAAATAAACAGCCTGGCTGAGCATGATGGCTCCTGCCTGTAATCTCAGCATTTTGTAAGGCCAAGGTGGGAGGATCACTTGAGGCCAGGAGTTCAAGACGAGTGTGGACAACACAGTGAGACCCCATCTCTACAAAAACTTTTTTAAAAAAATTAGCCAAGCATACTGGCATGTGCTTGTAGTCCCAGCTACATGGGAGGCTAAGGTGGAAGGACTGCTTGAACCCAGGAGTTTGAGGCTGCAGTGAGCTATGATTGTGCTACTGGGCTCCAGCCTGGGTGACAGAGTGAGAACTGTCTCTAAAAAAATAAATAAATAAACAGCATGGACCACCTAGCTAATGTCATCTCCTCTACATCTGGAAAGTGCTTCAGGCAAGCATTTGGGAATCAGATCAACCAAGTTAATTCTGCCTCTAGCTGATGCCACTCAGGGAGCTGCACATGACCTGGTGGGGAAGGGGAGGGGACTGAAGGGAAAAAGGCTGGGGGACTGGCATCTGGCAGGGTGATTTGCCACAGGCAGGGAGCGTCTGCAATGTCAGAGGGTCTAAGTACCCATCAGTCCCCAGGGAAGAGCAGGGACCAAAGAAATCATGCTGGTGGGACCCACTCCCCCAATATTCCCTACAGGAAAACTAAGGATAAAAATAAGCATCAAGGGGCTGGGCACGGTGGCTCATGCCTGGCAATCCCAGCACTTTGGGAGGCTGAGGCAAGCAGATCGCTTGAGTCCAAGAGTTTGAGACCAGCCTGGACAACATGGCAAAATCCCATCTCTCCAAAACCTCCTCCCAGCATTCCCTTCAAAATTAGTGGGGCGTGATGGTGCATGCCTATAGTCCTAGCTGCTCCAGAGGCTGAGATGGGAGGATCACTCAAGCCTAGGAGGTTAAGGCTGCAGTGAGCTGGGCTGTGATCACATCACTGTACTCCAGCCTGGTGACAGAGTGAGATCCTGTGTTTGGAAAAAAGAAAGAAAGAAGGAAAGAAGGAAAGAAGGAAGGAAGGAAGGAAGGAAAGAAAGAAAGAAAGAAAGAAAGAAAGAAAGAAAGAAAGAAAGAAAGAAAGAAAGAAAGAAAGAAAGAAAGAAGAAGAAAGAGAGAGAGAGAGAACGAGAGAAGAAAAGAAGAAAGAAAGAGAGAGAGAACAAGAGAAGAAAAGAAAGAAAGAAAGAAAAAGAAAGAAAGAAAGAAAAAAAAAGAGAGAGAAGGAAGGAAGGAAGGAAGGGAGGAAGGCAAGCAAGCATCAAAGCAAGCTCTGAATGGAGCCAGGAAGAGGAGATATCCTATACCTGCTCCTTGGCTTGGAGTGGGCAGTGAGGAGGTGGCATGTCAGGAGAGGCCGCCAGTGCTGCAGGAAGGGGATCATGGGCAGACTAGAGTGGGCACCCCATGCATATTTACTAGAAGGAAGGCAAAAAGGCAGGAAGGGTGGGAAGAGGGCAGTAAATGGCTTTTAAGTCATTTCCCAGCTCCTAGATCAGGGCTCTTCTTGTCCTCTTTCCTCTGAGTCACTGTCCAAATCCAAGTCACCTGCTCCTATTCCCTTCCCACACTCCAAGCCAGTGCCCCAAATCCCGGCCATGAAGAGAGCAAAGTGAGATCTTGAACTCCACTGGGGTGGCTGGCTCCCAGGTCTCAGGTCTTAGCCCTGGACTATCCTCTCCCTATCTCCTTCACCTCTTGTTCTCCAGGCCAGGAGTCAAAACCATGGGTAGATCCTTTGGAGGTAGCTGTTCTGCCTTAGGCAGCTTGTGTCAGAGCTGGAGGAACAGGCTAGATAGCAGGACACCTATGCTGAGCCCAGCCACTCATCAGCTGGAGGGGGTGACATGCGTTATTTTGGCCCATCCAGTGTCTACTCCCCCTTCTTCTGGTAATAGCATCCCCAATTTTCTCTGGAGGACCACCCCTCTCCACTCCCTGCACAGGCATTGTGGACCCTCCTTTCTGCTTTGGGCTGGTCATTCAGGGCATCACTTCCTCGAAACAACAGGGGCTGGATCAGGGATGGACATATTCCCTAACTCAGAGCCCACAGGTGCATTCACAGGGACCACTGAGAGGGAGAAAGAAAGAGAGAGAGAGAGAGAGAGAGAGAGAGAGAGAGAGAGAGAGAGACTCTTGATTTCTCCCTTGATTAAAGCTGTGAAGTTGAAACCTGAAAGTCCAACCATCATCTCGCTTCCAAGACAGCTCAGAATGTCCCAGGGAGAGAACAGAGTGAAGAAGTGGCCAGAGACAAGACCCAGTGACATCAACCGAGTCCCTGGATCCAGCTGTGTCAAAGGTGAAACCTGGATGTTTTGGTTACTGAATGAAAACAGTTGGCTCAATCTAGTTGGAGTAGGATTTTCTTCCACTTGCTGGAAGAGTCCTCATGGATACACAACCACAGCCATGGGCAAGTCATTTCACCTCCCTGGGCTTCCATGCCTTCTTCTCTAAATATGGGGGTGAGCTATAGGTAGGGAGGGGACAAGAGGGCCTCTCAGGTCCCTCCAGCTCTGTGCCGTTGGTTTGCACAGAGGACCACAACCAGTGACCCAAGTCCTAAATTCCAGATAAGCAGGGGGAGATGCAACCTGGTGCTCAGAGGGAACCAGGCCAAATGAGCCCCTGGGCAGGGCCTCCGGGGTCAGGCCTATATCCATTCCTGAGGGTTAATGGAAATCATAAAGACTTCCAGGTTCTGCTCACCACATATAGGCCTGTTACTCCACAGGAGGCTCATTAGCCCTCAGCCTCTTCTGGAAGCTGAGCACTGAAGATACAAGGCCAGTGTTTCTGCTCAGCTCTGTGCTAGAAGTCAAGACTTCTTTTTCCTCCAAAGCAGGGTTTCTCCACCTTGGTACTATTGATACCATAAGTCCGATAATTATTTGTTGTCAATAGCACCATTCCTGTCCCCAGTTGTGACAACCAGAATTGTCTCTAGACATTGCCACTTGTCCCCTGGGGAGCAAAATCACCAGTCATCGAGAACCACTGCTCTAAAGAAGGCTGACTGCCCAGAGAACACTTGGTTCTTAAGCCTCAAGTGTTTATTTAACTTCTACCCTTCCCTCTTCCCACTGAACTCTATCAATCAATTTGTCTCTTTTCTTCTCTTTACTGTTGGTTTTGTAATGCAGGCAGTGTTCCTGCAGAACTCTGGGCTTCACCTTTGGGTGTGACCCCTGAGGTTTTACAGTGGTTTTTCACTGTGTTTGTGGACACTAAAAAGTGGATGCAGTGGGCCATCTCCCATGACCAATCCCATTTGTGCACATGCTCACAGGACAAACACACACACACACACATCGTTCTGCATACAATGTCGAGGAGTCCTCAGACCCCTTGTAACTAGAGCCACGACCCTTCAGAGTTCACCAGGCTTAATTCTTTCAGATCTTATAACGGGATCAGCTGTATCTTTCCTTGGTATAGCAGAATGAATACAGAATTTAGAGTCAGAAGATCTGACTAGAGTTTGGGCTCTACTTTTCACTAGCTGTGTGACTTTGGACACATCATCTCCCTCACCAAGTCTTGCTTCTGGAACACTGGGAATATCTCATGAGTTTAGGCATCATCAAATCCAATGACCTCCCAATGTCCCATCTCTCCACCTGATATTCCTCTGCCAAGCTAATCTTTCTAGATCACAGCTGTGGGCATGCTCTTCCCTACTCAAAAGCATTCCACAGCTCCCTGTTTCCTATAGGATAACATTTTTTTTTTTGGGTCATGCAATGCCCTCCACAATCAGGTGCTATTTTAGCCTTCCACATACCTACCTATACTTTAGCTAATGCTAACTACTTCTGTGCTTAAACATTCTCTGGGTTTTTAGCCTCTATATCTTTGTTCATGCCATTCCTTCTACCTGGAATGCCTTTCCCTATCCTACTGTCCATCCTTTTTAAGGCCTGGCTCAAAGTCCACATCCTTCAGTAGTCTGTAACCCAAACCCTATAGCATGTGCCACTATATGTTCTGGCTGTATGCCATGCCAGGAGTTTTCTATTTGGTTGTGTTATTTCTCAATCTCTGGGTAGTGGTTGAGAACATGGGATCTGAGGCTGGCTATCCTGGACCAAGTCCTGGATATGATTTGCTTTCTCAGTTCCTCCCTAAGCCTTCTTTTCCTTAGCTGAAAGTGGGGCTAATCATAGTGCCTACATCAAAGAATTATTGTATGCACTAAACTCTGTGTCAGGAATTGAGCCAAACTATAGACTCTCCTACAGGCTATAATGTCAAGTGCTTTTCACAGTGTCTGGCACAGAGAAGGGTCTCAATACATTTCAGCACGATCATCACCATCATTATTAGGCTCTGGGGAGACATTAGGATAAAAATGGTCACATAGGGCTAAGGTGAAATGATAATAACCAATTAAGGGACAGGGAACAAATTCTAATTCCACAGTGATCTCCAGAGAAGAAGGAAACTAGGAATAATAACGGCAAACACCTACTTAGTGCTTAGTATCTGCCAGGCACTGTCCTAAGCATTTTACAAGCATTAGCTCTATAACCCTCACAACAGCCCTATAAAGTGGAGACCATTCACTTTCTTTTACAGATGTGGACACCGAGATGCAGAGAGGGCAGATAATTCACCTGAGATCACAGAGCTGAGCTGGGATTCAATCCCTGGGCACCTCTTCACTGTACCAAAGACCCTCGTGCCCTAACAGGGGGTGTGTTAGTGATGTCTCTTAGAAGAGAGACACCAAGTAGCTCAAGGGGCATCCCAGATGGAGAAAAAAACAGTGGCAAAAGCCACAGAGGGATCTCAAATGTGCCTTTATGCATGGCTGTCTGCACCCTTGTGTTTAGTCTGAGCTCTGCCTACAACCACCTGAAATTGGCTACCACTCTGCAGGACTGAAAAACATCTGGAGCCCAGATGTGTCATTCCCTGGGCAAAGTAAATGTATGCAGCACAATTTTCAAAACCTGTTCATTCTCAAAGCATTGTGAAATACCTTATGGGAAGGAGGGAAAAGGAGGTGGGACAGCAAGGTTAGGACATCTCTGGGAAGAACCTCAAGCAAGTCCTATTGCCCCTATTAGTTCCACAGTTCTGAAGGTTCGGGCAGATCAAAGGTTGCTCCTGATTCAGTGTGTGTTGGGACAAACCCAGAAGCTAATGGGGACTGAGGGCCATTTTGAGGGGTCAGTGGCTGAGATGGTGGGAATCCTTCTCATTCAGGGCAAGGAAGCAACTCTTGGATTCTAGATAATAATGAGACCAGGGTCCTCTCTCCAAGGGGTGAAATGAGAGGGGTTTCAAGCTCCCCGCACGTGAAATATACTAGTTGTATATTAAAATGAGGGTGGCGGAGGATAGGCTGGACTATTACCTAAGATCCAGTCCTTTCTGAATGCAAGACATTGCCTCATCATTTAAACTCTTCACATGATGGAAAAGGTTCAGCAGTTGTCCACTATGACTATCTTAATGCACCTGGATTAATTAATTCTTTTCTTTAATTAGTTATTAATTTGTTCATCAAACTACTATTCAATCCATATCCCTAGCCCTTCATTCAACAAACAAGTACCATGAGCACCTACTGTGTGCCAGATGCAAGACTAGGCATGGTAGGCATTGCAGTACACTAGACCCATGTGGCTCTTCACTTTATGGGTCTGACCATCTCGCCTAGCTTGAGTGAGTTGGATCCAACTGTCAGAGCTTTCAAAACTCAAACAAGACCATTTGTCCTTAAAAATTTAAAGTGTAAGACATGTATGACATAACTGAACACCAGTTTTAAAATAACTGCATATAGTTTCAGCCCTGACACAAGAATCCCTGTGCTAAATGGACTGACACAATTGTAGGAGTGGCAGATCTGGGCATCTGAGTCATAACCTGTCTCTCTGAACTGTGTGTTGAGGAAGGCCTATGCTGAATATTCGCTCAGTGGACAGAACCATTTAATGCAAGGTTGGACTTTCTGTAAGGATTTTTCTAGGGAGGTTGTTCTTTACCACACTGGGTCTTCTTCCCAAAGGGCTTAGAGGAAATTCCCCTCAGGTCTCAGTATCAGACATAGTTTGCTTGTCCTGATCAATAGGTTTGTTTGATGATAACTGGGACAGTATAACTGACTAGGTTTTCCTTATCCTAATACCTTCCTAGAAGCTCAGAGTCCTGTTTATAGTTCACCAGAGTAAGCATCTATATAGAATGGTCTATCATTTATTTGAAGATGCATCTTGTTTCTGGCTTATTTTTGTGTCTTCACTCTCATTTTTCTTTTATCTCTGTCATTGAGTTCACATTTAGTTTATCTTGCCATAGCAAACTTTAATCCGTTCTAGAACTGTTTTATGCGTGTTGGTGCATAAAATAGAATAGAATCAAATCAATACAATAGAATAAACTAGCATAAAATAAAACAATGCTTTTGAGATTAAATTTTTGAAAAATTCCAGGTCCACCTATATGGCGGGATGACATACCGATAGCATTCACTCTAAAGCACACACAAGGATGAACTTTATGGCAACACTCTAGCACCTTCTTTCCAAAGGCCCATCAATACTGATAGATTAAAATTCCCATCTCAAAAGATGCATCTGGCAGGGGCAAGTCTTAGCGCCAATGCCTGCGAACCCACGTGGCCTCCCACCCTGAGAAATACAGCTTTCTTTGTCATTTTCACACTAACAAGGTGGTAGTCCGCCTTTTGTTTGCTTGTTTTCCACAGTGATGTCTCTTGACCCGCCCATTGAACTCTGTATCATGGACACATGCTACAGGCAACAGCAGGAGGGAGGCCACAGACCCCCTTGACCTTACTTCCGTCACAGGGTCAGAGGTGAGAGGTGGAAGTGGCCTTATGTAATCCTCCAATGCATGCGCACCAATGCCTTGATTTTAAGTGCAGAGACCTAGTATTTTCAGACACAGGGCACAGACATTTTAATGTCCCTGAGGAGCCAGCACAGAGCACCAGTAGTCATGTGGACACACCTGATGTGGATTTCTTCCAAAAGCTGGACACCCTTCCACCAGCTAGAAAACAGAGCTGCTTTTCTTCAGTACAATTCAACAAATATTTATTGAGCACCTATATGAATATCCTATTGGCTACATGCATATAGATATGAAATGAATAAGGAGCACATATGTGTGTTTATGCACACACAAGTCAGCATACAAGTAAATACACACACACACACACACACACTTCATGCATTCCCTCACACACACACATTCCCTGCCTTCAAGGAGTTCATGATCTGCTTGGGGGTGGGGGATGAGAGCAGACACTTGCCTGCAATCCTGGCTCTCTGTGGTCCACTAATTTCCATGGAGACTCCAGAATGTAGCTCCAGCATTGCCTCTCTTGAAAGCCTATCTTGATCATCTTCATTTCCTGACCCTCCCCTTCCCTGCAGGGTCAGGTGTCCCAGAGGTCTAGTGACAGAAATGATATTATGGCTATACCTGACACTCGAGTTGTACTTACTACATTTCTGCCTTATTATCTCTATTTTGAAGATGGCAAAACCGAGACCCTTGGAGATTGTCTGACACATTCAGGTTTCACCTCCAGGCAAACAAGGAGATGGAACTAAATCCAGGTCTCCTAATACCGCAAGGTGAAGGTGAGGATTAGATGATTAAATGCCTCCGAGATGCTCACCTTCGGCTTTGGCAACTTTAAGTTCTGTGATTTTTCAGGAAACCAAAGTCTCCAGATCACAAGTTAGAAGGAGGGGCTGGGGTGGTAGAGACCCAGCTTGGTAGCTCCCAGCTCATCTGACATTTCACTGTGCCCCAGGAAGCCTCATCAGGAGGGGCAGACAAGGGGCTGAACAGCCTAGGTAGCCGGGGGCCAGGCTAGCCAGCCCTACACTGCCCTCCCTCAAACCTCTCCCCAGCCTACCAAAGGAAGTGGTGGTTTCAAGCTGCAAAATAAGCAAATCAGGGCCCCGGCTTCTGGGGGACGGATGTTTGCATCTTGCTGCATTCTATGGAAGTGTGATCCACGGCTTTAATCCTAGTCACCAACAACCAATATCTCAGATGCAACACATGGGCTCCAGAAGCCTCAGGAGATGTGAAAATGTTCTCTGGCCAGGCCAGGAGGGTCCCATCCTGAAGCGCTGTTCAACCTTCAGCTGTCGGGACATCCTCTGTTGTCAAAAATTCATCCACAGTGGCCAGGGGCACACAGGAGAGGACCAAAGAACAGATAAGGGCTTTCATGTCAGCCTTGGGCAAAAGGTCCAGCTTTATTCTTGACCTCTTAGTGCCTCAGTTTCCTCATTAAAAAAAAAAGAAAATAACAATACCATCTGCATAGGTTTGTTGTAACCAGGAAACAAAATAACCCATGTAAAGTCCTGACCTTTCAGCTGAGCCCAGAGAAGCTGTGGATTCACAGCTAGTTCCTGTGCTCCTGGGGTTTGCAGTGCACAAAGGATCTGGGTCAGATCAGAGTTCTACAAGGACTCCTCTGTGAGCTGTGTGGAAAAGGACTTGAGGGGACAAGACTGGAGACAGGGCCACCAGGCAGGAGGCTGCTATGACATGCCCTGGGTGATGGAAATGGTTTACACTCCCCCTTGGATACTGTTTCTGGCTACTCTGGGTAGCTGACTGGTCAGCTGAGCTGTGTGCAGCATCTCATGCCCGTTACCTCTTTGGTAATCATGAGAACTTGATGACCTAGGTGTCATTATTCCCACTCCACAGGGGCAGCACCTAAGGCTGAGAAAGGTCAAAGTCAAGTCAGGTCTCTGCCACGAACCCATGAGCATGCAAAGACTGCTTCCTTACCTCGAGTCCAGGGAGATATTGTCCCTTAAAACATACCAGAGGGAGGTCAAAGTGAAGTGGGGTTATTTAAAAGCAGCCAGAGGCAGCCAGGCCAGGATGGAGGTTCACTGCTGAGTTGAGTTAATGCTGCAGCCAGACAGGATGCACACTTAAAAAATCACCCTGAGAGTGAACGGCAGACTCAGTACTGGGAGAGCCAAAGAAACCAGGAGGACAGTCAGGGGCCTGGGAGTCAGGAGAGCTCAGCCCCTTTTTGATGGGACCTAGGGTGGGCTGATGGGACTGGTCCCTTAAAACAGTTGTTTTCTAGACCTGGCTGGAAATCAGAATCACTGCTGGGGCTTGCACTGTCTGCTCCTTAAGCCCCAACCTGGAGAATATGACTCAGTGGGAGTGGGTAGACCAGTTGTCTGTGTTAAGCTCACTCTGCAGGGCATCTGCTGCCTTAAGAACCAAGCACTGTGCTAAAGGTTGGTAAAATGTAATAACAAGTTAAGGCTTTTCCTATTGTTCTCTCTCATTCCATGTATGTTTGGCCATTTTCTCTCTACCTGTCCTTCCAGGGGCACTCTAATCTCCAGTCTTTCTGGATTTCCCTCCAATGCCTCCCCTTCCCTTTGTGGCCAACTACTCCCCTTCCCAGCATCCATGGTCCAGCCCCAGGTACAGCCCACTTTCCCCAGAGCTGAGCCCACTCAGAAGAGCACAGGTTTTGATTTCTTAATCTTTGCTCAAGCATCCCTGCTTCCCATGGCTTTTAATCATTCGGAAAGAGCCCGCTGTTTGGAGCAGTATTCCCTTAAATGTGTCAATATCGTGTTATAAATTATGCTGCTCCGTCCCAGGGGCCTGACTCAGGGTCACACCCTCATTAGAGAAACAGTGAGCCAAGGTGGCTCTCGGCGGTGGCAGACAGCTGGGAGCCCTGCACAGGGTTTGGCTGGGAATCCATGCTCAATAAACACGGGCCAGTGGCTCCTCTCCAGCCCCATGCTGGATGTCAAGTACAGAGGACTCAGCCATTCCGCTCCCAGATATACAGACCCCAGGACTGGGCGCAGTCACCAAAAACATGCCCTAGGATGTACACAGCAGCACAATACATGGCAGCCCCAAAGGAGAAATGGCCTCGGCTGGGTGCAGTGGCTCACGCCTGTAATCCCAGCACTTTGGGAGGCCAAGGCAGGTGGATCACCTGAGGTCAGGAGTTTGAGACCAGCCTGGCCAACATGGTGAAACCCTGTCTCTACTACAAATACAAAAAATTAGCCAAGTGTGATGGTGCACACCTGTAGTGAGGCAGGAGAATCACTTGAATCTGGGAGACGGAGGTTGCAGAGAGCTGAGATCACGCCACTGCACTCCAGCCTGAGCAACAGAGCAAGACTCCGTCTCAAAAAAAAAAAAAAGAAAAAGAAAAGAAATGGCCTCATGCCCAGTCACTTGTAGAATATATGGCTTCTTCACCAAGTGCAATAAAATACAGCCACACACAACATGGATGAATCAAACAAATATGTCGAGCAAAAGAAGCCAGACACAGAAGACTGCATACTGCATCAGTCCATTTAGGGGAAGTTCAAAAGCAAGTGAAACTATTTGGGAGGCCAAGGTGGGCAGATCACTTGAGGTCAGGAGTTTGAGACCAGCCTGGCCCACATGGTGAAACCCCGTCTCTATTAAAAATATAAAAATTAGCCGGGCAAGGTGGCAGGTGCCTGTAGTCACAGCTACTCAGGAGGCTGAGGCATGAGAATCACTTGAATCCAGGAGGCAGAGGTTGCAGTGAGCCAACATCATGCCACTGCACTCCAGCCTGAGCAACAGAGCAAGACTGGTCTCAAAAAAAAAAAGTAGGTGAAATGAATCCATGCTGTGGGAGTCAAAACAGCATTACACGTGGGAAATGGTAGTGACCAGAGGGAGGATGGGGGGTTGGCCATGCTTGAATTCTTAATCCGAGGCCTGGTTCACAGGTGTGTGTGTTCAGGTGGTAAAAAGGCACTGGGCTGTACGCATTTGATGTGTGCACTTTCTGTATGTATATTACACTCAATTAAAAAATAATCTTGCCCCAGAGAAGTTCACGAATGAAAAGAGAAAAAGGTGCAAAGGATCCACAAAGCTGCCACACAGGACCTCTCTGTCCTCACTCAGCCCCTTGCTTACTGTGGCCTCGCCTGTTCCCTGGGCCACCTGGGGCCTTCATGTTGTCCTTCCTCTATAAAGCAAGGACACTGGAATGGTACAGCTTCTGTCGCCTGGTGGGACTGTCTCTGATGATGGTGCTGAGGGAGGTCAAAAGGCCAAGGTCACACTCTAGATATCTCTGACTTCCTCTAATGATCCCACTGAACATCCCTGGAGTTGGCTAAACCTTATGGGACCCTCAATGCTTAAATCTGTCATTATGTCTTGTCCCCACTAGCCTGTGAGCTCCTCCAGTGACCATTCATCTTTCCACCATGAGGGCTCCATCAGATAAACATCTGGGGAACCGAACGGCGGATGTTCCCACTTGGCGCGGTGCTGATAACAGCAGCAGCCAATGCTCGTACATCACTCACTATGTTTGTACAAGGCACTCTTCTAAGCCTTTCTCAGGTAGTATTTCATTTACTCATCAGAGCATCCCTGTGAGAGAAGTTCTGTTTCCTGGCTCCATTTTACAGATGTAAACTGAAGAACAGAGAGGCCAACCAAATTGCCTAAGGTCACACAGCTAATAAATGGCACAGCAGTGCTTCAAACCAAAGGAGTCTGGCCCCAGAGTCCATGTTTTTGACCCTCTCCCTATAGCTTGTTGAGCTTTGTCTTATCCTGGCTCCTGGAGAGGCCAGAGTGCCTTGGTCCTGTGTTTGCTCTATCCCTTCCCCGGTTCCGTTTGCCGATTTATAAGCTCCCATCATAGCTCCCTTTGGCCCTTATCTTCCTAGATCCAAGAAGCCTTTAAGGTTCATGTGTACACATACGTGCCAGCTGCTCCAAGCTCTTCATCACTGTGACTGCCTTGCTCTGGAACTTCTCCAGCCTAAACCTGCCTCTGCTGCAGAAATAATGGGTATGGGTGGAGAGGCTCTGTTCTGGGCTCTGTCACCCCAGACATGTACAAGAGCCCCTCAGTGTTTTCTCTTTGGTCCCCAGTATCCTCCCTGATGGTAGCCAGCTCTTTCCTTCTTTAGATTCAAGAGGTATCAGGAGCCCTAGAGACTGCATCAGGCTGGGGCCCTAGGTTCCAGTTACCCTTCCTTGGGTTTCATTTTCTGCATCTGAAAAGTAAGGAGATTATGCCTCTTGATGGGGGTTCTAACCAGATCTAAGGGGACAGAAGGGAGCCTCACAGTCTGGGGTCAATTTGCAGTCATGTAGAAAGCTTCAGAGCAAGGGAGCCCACAGTCTGAACTCTAGGCACGGGGGCAGAGTTAATGCCCACTCAGCCCCTGAGCCTCACCACGGCTCTGTGAGGGGTGTTCTTCCTCCTGTTTCATAGAGAGGACACTGCCTGACCTGGGGGGTCATGGAGGGGAAGCTGCTTCTGTGTCTCTTGCCAGGGATGCCAGGGTCATTTTGTAATGCTCCTCATTTGTAAAAGTTACAGATTGCAGGCAAAGCTCACACCAACCTCAAAGTACTGCTACTCTAAGGATTAAATAGAATGAAACAGAGAAAGGGCTGGGTACAGAACCTGACACACAGTAAGGGCTCAATACCTATAAGCTGTTATTTTTACTACAACTACCTCCTCTCTTTTCCTCTCCCTTTTTCTCCTCTTGACCTGCAATGGGAGCCTGTACTTCTGTACCCAATCCTAAAATTCTAGGAAGATGAAAAGCCAACTTCTATTCTGGAAGATTAGGTTCACCCAGATAATCCCTTATGTTCCCAAATCTTGTGACCTCTCTTATCTCCACCACTTGCTGGTTGTGTGGCCTTGTGATGGTTACTTCACTTCTTTGTGCCTTGGTTTCCTCATCTGTAAAATGGGGAAATAACATCTTTTATAGAGTCCTGGTGAGAACCATTGAATGAATATATTTAAATGCTAAGAATAACACCTCACTAAAAGCACCATAGAGGGGTTTGTTATTCTGAAAGTGTATGCGGAAAACGCTGAGCACTGACTATGCACTTGCAGCCCCATCCATCAAGCCACGCAGCAATTTATTATTTATCAAATGCCCCCTTCGTGCCTGGCATGCTCAGTACATCACATCTGTTCTCTCTGACAACAACAACTGCTCTAAGGGGCTGGGGATACAGTTGGGAATAAGACGTCCACATCTCACCCTCCCTTTCCTGTCACCCCCAGATTGGCCCAAGATCTCATTTCTCCCAGCTGGCTGGTGAGGTGTCGGGCTGGCCCCAGCTTTCCAGATGGCTTGGCACCTTCTCCGTTCTGGGTGGGATTCCACTCCCCTCGCTCTGGCCACCATCCCAAGTATCAGGGGCAGACCTTCCCCACTGAGGCCCAGCCAGCCAGAGCCAGGCATTGGGAGAGGTGCCACCAGGCCAGGGTCGGTTAATTTTGTCTTTAATTAGCAATCATGATAAGTGACGAGGCCCAGCGGTGACCCTGCAGATGGCAGTGTGCTCTGCTCCGAGTGACAAGTTGGGAGCATCCAGGTCTATGAAGGGTCCATGCTGGTTCCTGTGGCTGCACTGCCCACACCGTGACCCTGGGGATGGGGGTGGCTTGGCTGACAGCCAGGCCCTCCTCGGGGCAAAGGACACTGGGCCCGAGTGAAGGTGGGGAGGGTAGGCTCTCAATGTTCCCTGGGACCCCAGACTGGCTCATCCCAACCAGATTATTTGAGAGGAAGGAACTAAATATTTTTGAGCCCCTACCATAAGCACCTTGCTAAGAAATCACAAGGATCAGCCAGGCACGGTGGCTCACGCTATAATCCTAGTACTTTGAGAGGGTAAGGCGGGTGGATCACTTGAGGTCAGGAGTTTAAGACCAGCCTGGCCAATGTGCTGAAACTCCATATCTATTAAAAACACAAAAATTAGCCAAGTATGGCCATGCACGCCTGTAATCCCAGCTATTTGGGAGGCTGAGGCATGAGAATCACTTGAGCCTGAGAGGTGGAGGTTGCAGTGAGCCGAGATTATGCCACTGCGCTCCAGCCTGGGTTACGAAGCAAGACTCTGTCTCAAGAAAGAGAGAAAGAAAGAAAGAGAGAGAGAGAGAGAGAGAGAGAAAGAAAGAAAGAAAGAAAGAAAGAAAGAAAGAAAGAAAGAAAGAAAGAAAGAAAGAAAGAAAGAAAGAGAAAGAAAGAGAGAGAGAGAGAAAGAAAGAAAGAAAGAAAGAAAGAAAGAAAGAAAGAAAGAAAGAAAGAAAGAAAAGAAAGAAAGAAAGAGAAAGAGAGAGAAAGGAAGGACGGATGAACAAGGATCATCACTGCCATTTGAAGTTGCCATTTTTGTAGATGAAGAAAAATTGAATATTGACACTTCTTCAAATGATTCAAGCTATTATTACCTAATAAGTGCTCGTGTGTGCCAGGCACTGTCCTTATATTAACCAGTCAAATCTTCACAACCACCCTATGAGGTGGGCACTGCCTGCTGCTGGGGGAACCTCAACTCTGTGGCTTTGTGCTTCAGAGTTGAGGGCTTCTTTGAGAACAGGCCAGTCTGATGCCTCGCCCTCTCCACCCCCGTACATGACGGGCACTGTCCTAAGTAACCGACATGCATCACCTAACTTACTCCTTATGGGAACCCCATCAGATGGGTGCCAGTGCTGTTCCCATTTTAGGGATGAGAAAATCAACTCTCAGAAAGGCTGGACAGCTTGTCCAAGGTCCTGCACCTAGCAGAGGGCAGAGCCAGACCAGGATTTGAACCCTGGGCTACCTGGTTCTGCATTCACGCCTCTATTGGTGAGTCAGCAGATGTGAGGGTTACAGGAAGCTCAATTCCACCCCTTCCTCCCACCTCTGTTTTCTGGTTTTGGGAGCCAACCACCCACAGGAAACACACATTCTGCTTCTGGGGTCCCATCAGAAGCAGATGTCTGCAGGGGAGGCCTGTGGCCGTCCAGAGCTGCTGGTGGCCGGAGTGGGGTGAGTCACAGTGTCTCATGCCGGGGTCTGTGTTTGGAATCCCACTTCAGGCCCCACAGGTAGCCACATCCCTTAACCCAGCCCTCACCCATCAACAAGGGGATGTTGTTATCCTTGTCTTCCTGCCTACTTTTGCGGGTGTGGGAGGACAGGTGTTATTTATCGAACCTCTGAAATCCCTACAGTGATCAGCCCCCTTTCACAGATGAGAAAGCTGAGGCACGGAATGGTTGTGTGACCCGGATGTGAGCCTTCAAGGTCATACCACCCTGCTCGTGTCTGCTGTACCACATCATGGGTTAAGATGCCTAGAAAATGGGTTGCATTTCTGCCCCTATATCCTGCTCCATTTTTTTCATAGCACTCGACATCATCAGAAGTTATAGTATTTATGTCTTTATTTACTTATTTTTTCCTATCTTGTTCATCTTTATATCTCCTTTGCCCAAAACACTGCCTAACACACAGTAGGTGCTCAATAAATACTTGTGGACTACTAAGAAATGGGCGCTCCCTTCCACTGAGTATGGAATGCCCCTCAGCTCACAATCCGCAGCCCGTCTTTATAGATGGTTCTCTCTCACCCAGCCTCAACCACAGTGGATCTTTGAAGCAGCATTGTTTGTTTTCAAGGTCACCCTCAAAGTCTCCCGTGCCCAGCTGGCAGCTCCCAGCAGCAAGCTACTCACACGCAGGTCCCTGGCTATCTGCAACTTCCTGTGGCCCTGGTGGTCTCCTGCTAGAAGCTGGAGCGCCTTTAAACTCTTTATACTCACAAGGCCACTGACTGGTCAGCTTCCCTCTCTCCCAGCATAAGAGGGAAAAGAGTGCCTACCTCCTGCCAGGCCCACAGAAGTGAAAAATAAACACCCCAGCCGGCTGGCTCCAGCTCACCTGCACTCTTGCCAGGGAGTGCTTGGTCTTCAGATTTTCCCCTTTTTTGCTTGATTAATACAACACCAATTCCCTGCTGCCCAGCCTTCTGGGAGGCACATTTTGCCCTTAATTCAGCTGACCTCAGCTCGTGAGCTAAAATCAGGGAGCAGAGGATGACTGGCGTTTCTCGGTTGTGAAAACCATGGATGCATTTCAGCAAAGTCTAAGAATCTTTCAAGCCAAGGCAATGACGAGGGGTCTCTGCAGGTGCCTCCTTTTCTTCTTCCTGCACATGGGGAGAGGGGGGCCTCTTCTGGTCTCTAAATGGAAGCGGATCACATCTGGAGGGATCAGTTGGTGGCCACATCTTGAGCCCTCTGAAGCCAGGCAAGCCTCTGTTGTTTGTTTAATAGCGGTCAGAGAAAACGTGTGGGAAACAGTTCTTAGTAAACAAAAGGAGGGACCTTTGATGTAAACAGAAGCATTTTCTCCTGGTCTTTTCCCTAAAGTCCCTGTCTCTGACAGAGATAGGCAGGAAAAAATGAACTTTGCTTCAAGAAGCTGGTTTCTCTGGATCCCTGAGTGGATCATGATATAGCTGGGTCTTGATGTGTGTTGGCATGTGTGTGTGAATGTGTGTTTGTGTGTGTGTGTATGAGTGCATGCACATACATGTGTCAGTGGCTGTGGAGTAACGCAGAATCCAGGTGTTTCCTAAGCGGGTCTCGAAGTGGCTTCTGCCTAGAGTCAATAGGTGAGATTCAATTCGTGAACAATTATCAAGTGCTCTGGTTGTTGCTGACGACAAGAAGGTGCCAAGGCTGTCAGGAGTTTACAGGCTATCTATACCACGCCAGGCCACACCAGGCTTGTGGGGGACAAGGGATGCCTGCTGGGATCACTGGCCAGAGGTAGGCACGGCTGCTGCTTGTTGGAACGGCACATTCTACAATAACAAAATACAAAGGCCCGTTTTCTTGTGGGCCCCAGCTAAGCCGAAAACAGACAGCTGTGCGGATGACTTGCCCACCTCAGCTAGGTGGTCAAGGCACCTCAACTCTTCAGACAGCAAACTTGAGACCACACTCTCACACCAAGGGGTTTCAGAGTTTGGGAGCTCATTATACCAACAACATGGACAGCTCCCGTTTATTGAGGTTTCACCACGTGTTGGCTGGACAGTTCTGAGCCCTTCATTTGAATACCCTGACTTTTATCCTCCTCAAAGACACTGTGAGTTAGACACTACAATAGACAATCACATTTCCAATGCCCTTGGGGCCAGAGGTGTTTCAGATTCAAAATTCTTTGACTTTCAGAAAGACGATATGGTGAACATGCTGTGCCTTGAATGCCCCCAACTTCTCTCACTGTCCAGCCAACTCCTATCCATCCTTCAAAGGCCACTCAAATGCTTCTTCCTCGGTGAGGCATTTGCTGATCCTCATCAGCCCATAATGAATGATTGTGAACTCCTTGGCCCTGCTCAAAGCAGCACAGTTCCTAATTAAACTCTCCAGAAACACCTTCAGCTAAGCTTTAACCAGATGCCAGAGGCCCTGCATGCTCTTTGGGATCTGAAATAGCCCGGCATCAACCCCATGCAGAAGTCCAAATTCCCCACCCTGCCGAAGTCTGCAGACCCCCAGGGCAGGTCTCATTTGCAGTCCCTGTGCCCTGCAGGCTCCTCTTCCTCCAAGCTGTTTCTTTCACATAATAACCAGGCTCCTTTTGACACCCACCGAGAAGCCACTTGACAAAGCACATGTGAGAACACCTGCCTCTATTGGACATTTGTGCTTGGGGAGGGTGGCACAGTGGGGATATTGTTTCTGGAGTTACACAACCCAGCTCACAGTGAAAGTGGTCCTGTTTTAAATGTCCCCTTCTGGACAGCCTGGTCCCCTACCTCACGGTGTCCCAAGCGCCCCACCTTCTCACTGGCCCTTGCTCTTCCCCTCACTTCCCTCTGCCCTCTTCTAACCTCTGCTCCATCCTCTTAGGTAAAACCAACTGCTGTCTTCTCCTTGCAGAGGAAACTGACCCACTCTTTCCCTTGCTTGGGCCCCTCCTGACACCTTCTCACCCATGCCCTAAGCCTAAGGCTCCCAAATACCACCACAAGCAGCTCACTAAGACTTTCCCCCAAAGCAAGCGCATCCACCCCCGAGGATATTAAAGGCAGCAGGTAAAATGATAAAAACAGTTTGGCTTATGACTGTTGTTTACCTGCCTATCTTGCTCGCGCTGTTTGTCTCTTTTGCTCTGCTCACTGTCCTCAGCCTCTAGCACGATGCTGGATGCATAGTAGGGCTTTGGTAAGTGATTACAAAATGAATGCATGCATGATAAATGAAGACTACTCCCGAGAGGCAGTACGAACGCAGAGATTTATTTTCTGCAAGAGCATGAAAGACGTAACAGGAGAGAGAGCACGCGACTGTGTGTGTGGATGTGTGTTTTCTGGGAGGGAAGTCAGGGATGTTAGGCCTGGAAATGTGTAAAGGGAGAAAGAGACAAGATGAGCCAGGCCCCTGAGGTCAGGTGGGCAAGGCTGGAGGCCTGAGGCTTGAGACAACCCAGCGGCCTAGTGATGAAGGGCAGCCACGGTGAACTTGACCTTCCTGGTATGTAAATGAGGACAGAGCATCACAGGGGAGGTCTGCCCCCAGCACCCCCTGCCCCTGAGCAGGACGCCCACACTGTTCAGAATGATGGGACTGCATCTGCTGTTATATTGAAGATGCCCATTTGCATCTAATAAACCATCATTGAGTCCCTACTGTGTGCCAAGCCCTATGTTAGGTGCTGGGGATATAAAGGTAGGAAGAGGCTCACAGTGTAGGGGAGGAACACAGTTGTAAGCAGATGATCCTAATCTAGAGAGCAGAGCTAGGGACCCTGAGCTTGCACCCTGGAGCTGGTCTGCCTAGGAAGGCACTGGGCAACACTACCTTAACGTGTGACCTGAGGAAAGTTGTTTGACATGCGGTGCCTTCCTCGCTGTGTTGTTGTGGGCTGTAAACAGGTTAATATGCATCAAATCCTCGGGGCACTGGAGGGCAGACGGCATGCTCTGCCTGAGTTTGATATACTACCCCTACTAATGATAATGGTAATTATTATTATGCTGTGACAAATGCTATGGCAGTCCCTGCCATGGCACCCAAGGCCCTCCATGGTCTAGCCCTTCCCTGACTTCAATTCTTAACACTCTCCCCTCCTACTCTAGACCAGGGTTTCTCAACCTAAGCATGGTTGGTGTGTGGGATCCAAGAGAATTCTCTGGGGTGTGTGTGTGTGTGTGTGTGTGTGTGTAAGGTAGGGAGGCTGTCCTGTGGGCTGTAGGATGCTTAGCAGCACCCTTGGCCTCTACTCACTAGATGCTGGTAACATCACCTCTCTCCCCAGCTATGCCATCCAGAAATGTTTGCAGACATTGCCCAACATCCCCTGGGTGCAAGGGAGAGGGAGTAAAACTGCCTTTGATAGAGAACCACTGCTCGAAACACACCCATCTCCTTGCTCAAATACATAAGCTTACTTAGACCTCAGGGTCTTAGCACCTGCTGCTCCCTCTACCTGAGTGCTCTTTCCCTGGATAACAGATGGCTCAGTCCCTCACTGTTTTCAGGCCTCTGGTCAAATGTCACCATTGGCCAGGCCCAGTGGCTCACACCTGTAATGGAAACACTTTGGGAGGCCAAGGCAGAAGAATTGCTTGAGGTCAGGAGTTTGAGACCAGCCTGGGCAACATAGTGAGACCCCAGCCTTACAAAACTTTAAAACACTAGCCAGACATGGTGACATGTGCTTGTAGCCCTAGTTAGTTGGGAGGTTGAGGCAGGAGGATCACTTGAGCCCAGGAGTTTGCAGCTGCAGTGAGCTATGATTGTACCACTATACTCCAGCCCAGGTGACAGAGTGAAACCCTGTCTCAAAACAAAAATGAAAACAAAAACAGTCACCACCTCCTCATAGAGGCCTTCTCTGGCCACTGCATAAATACACACACACACACACACACACACACACACACACACACACACACACACACACACTCTTCACATGTTTCATGTCTCATAAACTCCCTTTCTCAACCCACCCTGTAGCCAGTCCACATCTAACAGGAGTCAAAAGTGGCCTGATTTAGAAGGCAGCCAGCCCAATCAAGGCAAGAAAAGTGCCAGGTTGCATCTGCCCCTAAACCTGGCTCATCTGGACTGTGCCTCCCGCTCCTCCCTGGGCTGACCAGGCTGAGCCTTGGAGAGCATCTGTATCTCCCTGTTGGTTTTGGATGAAATGACAGAGGCCCAGAGAGATGAGGGCAGATTCCCCCACAGTCCCACAGAGAGTTGGTGGCAGTGTAGGAACCATCTTTTCTGATCCCAGGCAGGAATGGTGTTCTCTAAAAGCAAAGATTGAAAGGGAGGCTGGTTGAGGCTTCCTAACACAGAATTAGGCAAAGTTGTTTATCTGCAGAATGAGGGTAGAAGTCCCTTGTGAGAGTGCTGAGGAGATTAAATGAGAATGTTTATGAAGCACCCAGCACATGCCTGGTGCGATGGAGATACACAGTGTTTGCTATTGCTGATGTTATCATTATTGCAAGCACTTGTCTTATACTGAGTTTATGTGGCTTAGGGACAAACTTTGGAGTCTGACCATCTTAGTTCAAAGCCCAGCTCTGTTGCTTACTGGCTGTGGGACTCTGGTCAAGTTGCTTAACCCCGCTGTGCCTTGGTTATCTTATGTGTAAAATGGGAGTAATCACAGAACCTACCCCATAGGGAGTTTGTAAGGGTGAAATGAGATAATGTGTATAAAGTGCTAATCAAGGTGGCCAGGTACATTGTCAGTGTTCATCAGGTCACTACTGTCATCATCATCAATACCATCATCATTTTCATCATCACCACCATCATCATCATCAACCACCATCACCCTCACTACCACCATCATCACCACCACCACCATCATCATCACTGTCACTCTATCATCATCACCATCACCATCATCACCATCACTACCACCATCATCACTACCACCACCACCATCATTGTCACTACATCATCATCACCCATCATTACTACCACCACCACCCTCATCATTGTCACTACATCATCACCATCATCACCATCACTTCCACCATCATCACTATCACCATCATCATCACTGTCACTACCATTGTCATTACCACCATCATCATCACCATCATCACCATCACTACCACCATCATCACTATCACTACCATTATCACTATCACTCTATCATCATTATCACCATCATCACTATCACCACTATTATCATCACTGTCACTAGAGCGTCATCACCACAGTCATCATCACCGTCACTACACCATTGTTACTATCACCACCATCATCATCATTGTCACTACTATTATCATCACGGTCACTACTATTATCATCACCACCACCATCATCACTATCACTACATTATCACCACCATCATTATCACTGTGACTACATCATCATCACCATCACTGCCACCATTGTTACTATCACCACCATCATCATCACTGTCACCACTATTATCATCACCACCACCATCATCACCATCACTACCATCATCATCACTATCACCACCATCATCACTTCAGTACCATGATCATTACCACCATCATCATCACCATCATCATAACTGTCACTACCACCATAATCACTATCGCCACCATTATCATCACTATCACTACATCACCATCACTACCACCATCATTGCTATCACCACCATCATCAGTAGTGTCATTTCCATTATCATAACCACCATCATCACCATCACCATTCCCATTGCAAACTTACTGTGAAGTCTAGCACAATGTGGCCCACAGAAGGGTTCCACAAATCTACTTACTGACTTTCAAATCCCCAGTCCTTTGTTTCCAGGGAAGCTTTTACTTCCCCCCAAACACTGGTTTAGAGGACTTCTCCGCTCTCAGAAACTGTTCTGGATATAAGAGAAATTACAGCAAAGCCAAAAGCTACACTCAAGATAGTTTCATTCATTGAATATTAAACTAATATTAAAATGCCATCCATTTTTAAAAGCATTAATGAAAGAAAACTTTAAATTTTCTGCAAATAAAACAGTACAAAAATGAGGAAGATTTCCAGGATGTGCAAAACCCCACTTCCTTTTCTACTAAGGAATTTCTAAACTGAGGCTGATTGAAGTCTCAAAGTTCTCCCCAGGGACCCCAAAGGAAAACAACCCATCAGGAAGGGCTCAGACGTTTCTCCCAATGCAGACCACCTCCTCCTGGGCCACCCTCTTCTTTGCCCCAACCCACAATGCAAAATCAGATGGAAATCTCCAGAGAAAACCTGGCTCCCTCCTTATTTATTCATCAGCATATTTGAATTCCAGCTGTCTCTGGAACCATGCCAGCAGGGGAGCATTTGATTATGCCGAGTGCCAGGCTCAAGATCCCCAGCCCCAGGCCTGGCTTATTTTCTTTCTCTGGAGGCTTTGGGACTGACGTGAATCTCTGAGGTTTGGCTTTCTGACTCTAAGCTTATTCATATCCTCTACCTCCCCAACTTCCCCACCCTCAAAACTTTCTTTTTCAAGGCAAATCTGCAATACAAGTCTTAAGCAGAAAGTTGATTATTCAGAAACCACAAGAGCCGAGGATTTATAAAACAAGGGGTTGCGAATGGATTCGTTTCCTGGGTGGCTTAAAACAGTGCAAATGTAGTTTGGAGGCCAGAAGTCCAAAAGCAAGGTGCCAGCAAGGCCAGTTCCTTCCAGAGGCTCTGAGGGACAACTTGTGCCCCTCTCCTGGCTTCTGGAGGCTCCCAGAAACCTTGACATTCCTTGGCTTGTAGCTGTCTCCCTCTAATCTCTGCCTCTGTCATCACGTGGCCTTCTTCCATCTGTGTCTGTGTCTCTGTGTGTCCTCTCTTCTCTTAAGGATGCCAGTCATACTGGATTTAGGGTCCACCTTAATCCAGCATGTATGGTTTGGCTCTGTGTCCCCACTCAAATCTCACCTTGAATTGTAATAATCCCCATGTGTCAAGGGTGGGGCCAGGTGGAGATAATTGTATCATGGGGGTGGGTTCGCCCATACTGTTCTCGTGGTAGTGAACAAGTCTCACAAGATCTGATGGTTACCTAAATGGGAGTTCCCTGCATAAGCCCTCTTGCCTGCCACCATGTAGGACGTGCCTTTGCTTCTCCTTTGCCTTCTGCCATGATTGTGAGGCCTCCCCAGCCCTGAGGAACTGTGAGCCCATTACATCTCTTTCCTTTATAAATTACCCAGTCTTGGGTATGTCTTTATTAGCAGCATGAGAACAGACTAAAACAACCTTATTTTAACTAATTACATCTGCACAGCCCCTATTTCCAAATAAAATCATATTCTGAGGTTCCAGGGGGACGTGCTATTCTACCCAGTACAGGGGCAGGAATTTTAAAAAATTATTTAATATGTTTCCCCACTGGGACCCTCTCTGAGTGCCTTACATCACACAACCCCCAGCCCCCTGATGTGGGATGGAAAAGAGAGATGTTGAGTCAGCAAGAGAAGCAACACCGTGGCCCCTCTGAGGGAGAGCTAGAGTTTTCTTTTTTCTCTTTTTTTTTCTTCAGAGAGTCTCACTCTGTAGCCCAAGCTGGAGTGCAGTGGTGGGATCTCGGCTCACTGCCACTTCCACCTCCGGGGCTCAAGCGATTCTTGTGCCTCAGCCTCCCGAGGAGCTGGGACTACAGGGGCGTGCCATCACACCCAGCTATTTTTATTTTTGTATTTTAGTAGAGGCGTGGTTTCGTCATGTTGCCCAGGGTGGTCTCGAACTCCTGCACTCAGGTGATCCACCTGCCTTGGTCTCCCAAAGTGCTGGGATTACAGGCATGAGCCACCACGCCCAGCCAGAACTAGAGTTTTCAAACCATTTTCCCAGCCAGAATCTCAGTATAATTTCACAAAGGCCACACAGGGAGAGTGAGCTTTCCCATCTTCCAGTGAGTAAACAGCTCAGAGAGGTTAGGCCACTTGCCTAAAGCCACACAGCTGCTGAATGCAGAGCTGGGCTAGAACCCAGGCCTTTTCCCTCAAGACCAAGGCTCTTTCTCTTTCTGTCTTTTCTTTGCAGGAAAAGAACACTGGTAAGTTTG